>NC_000015.10:88107944-88259459 GCF_000001405.40 Homo sapiens
GGTGGAGAGCAAGCGACATCCTAGAGATACACTGTTGGGCAGGTAGGGGCAGACCCAGAACCAACAGTCAGGACATCAGGAGACGCTGACAGTAGCCCATAGGCAAAGACCCCAGTTGCTGGACACACAGTATCAGGAAGAGCAATTCCAATCTGAAAGTAACAGCAAGACTCCAGGTTCTGAAAGATATGCCATTCTCTTAAGAAAACACTGTGCTCACCAAGGATGAAAAGTGTGCCTTGCTTGTATCTGTATCCCACAGTGCCTACCCTCCATGAAACCCACAGAATGGCTAACATCCCCAAATACACTCCTGCCATTTGGAGAAGCCAAGTATGTGAGTCAGGAAGTAAGAGTCACTGTCACTACCTGCCCGGAGTTCATAGTCTACGCTGGGATCTTGGACACACAGCACAAAAGGAAGTTCATTGCCTATTTTCCTCACTTCTGGCCTCTCAGGATTCAAACCTGGTGATCCTAAAAAGAATAGCCCATATATGCAATGGGTGCTCCTGACAACTCCCACCTCCCACTAGTTCCCATCCTCCTCACTCCATGCTCCCTGTGATCTACCCTCTCCAACTGACAGAATCATAGAATGTTACAACTGAAAGGGACCTTGGAAGCCCTTAATCCAAATCCCTCCAATTATAGAGGATAAAAGTAAAGCTCAAAAGATATCCAAAGATAAATCAGAGTGTAGCCTGGGCTAGAATCCAGATTTCTATAACATTCCATGACACTTTCCAAAATAAAAATTGCAGGGGCCAAAAAACAGACTTGAGTCTCCCTCACTTGGAAGCTATAGCTTTGCTAAGCCAAGTGTGGCTAGCAGACCAATAGGACCAGCCTCATATAAGGAGCTTGGCAGAAATGCAGAACCTCAGGCCCTACCCCAGACCTATCAAACCAGAATCTGCATCATAACAAGATCCCCAGGGCTCCACGTGCACCATAAAGTTCGAGGAGCTATGAAGGAGAGAATTCTCTCTCTAATCCACTTGCACAGTCAGACAAGAAAGAATCCCTCCCTCTCTCTGCCCATCCACCCCTCACTATTTTCCAACCCAACAGAGTGCCTGGAAATTTATGGCAATAACAAAACAACAACAATGCTCCCATTTCTAGTCAGCGGATGCTTCTCCCCCAATCCATGGGGAGTCTTTGCAAGGCACTTAAATTTCCCCGTTAAGCAAACAGCACCACCGCGCAAGGTAGAACAGGTGGCAGATCACTGGCGAGGGCCCGGTGAGCCGCAAGCAGGCTGGGTCATTAAATACTGCAGTGGACAGGTGCAGTAGCCAGGCCTCACGCAGAGGGTGGGGAAAATTGGGGCGTTCAGTCACCTCACCAAAGGAGCACTCTGCAGGAGGGAGAGAAGAGGGGACAGCGTCCTCACCCCAACCTCACCAACCTCGAATCGTGGTCCTTCATCCTTAAGCCACCTAATACCTGACATTAAGCAAGGAGCTCGTCCTTCCTGAAGCTCCTAAAAGAAGCAGGGACAATAATTTTTGTATCACAAGTCACAGTGAAAATCAAATGGAAACATGAAAGTGAAGCACCAAGCACAGTGCCAGAGACGTCGTGGGAGCCCAATAAAGAGAGCTTTTCCCGCCATGTTTTCAGCCCGCATCCCTCCTATTCCTTTAAAGTTCCAAGATATGTGCTCTGGCAGAAAGAGGTGGGGGGCTGGGCGGGGGGCGTTGGGAAAGCCCAGGCTGACAGCCTTAGCTTCCCACTGAAAATCACCTGAGCAGCTATAGAAACAACCAACACCAAGAGCCCATCCACTGAGATTCTGACCCACTGGCTGGGGGAGTAGCCTAGCTGTTGAAATTTTTTAAAGATCCCCATGCGATTCTACCATAAAACCAAGTGTATGAACCACAGCCATAATGGGACCTGCAGATTACTCACAGCTTTTCTGAGTGCAGCAAAAATCATGATTTCTCCCCTCAACACATTAACTGAGTGATTACTACACAGCTGGGGACTAAGCTAATTGCTTTATATACACAATTTCATTTAATTCTCATAAAACCCTGTATGATAAGAATTATCCCTCTCATTTGTCAGCTGAGGGTGTGGAGGCCCAGAATGGTCCATAAGTCACCTGAAGTCCCACAGCTCCCAAGCAGCAGAACTGAGATTCGACCTCAGCCTGTATAGCTCTAAATTTTAATGAGCCCCAGTAGGATGACTGGGGAAGAAATCTTAGTGTCATGGCATGGAAAAGAAGCCATAGCATTGGCCAGATACTGCACAAAGTGGTGGGTAAAGAAAGAGACAATAAGGAAGAAAGAAGATCAGGTAAACATGGAGGTGGGATCTTAGGAAAAGGCAGGTCAGACCTAGCGTCTTCCTGTCTGCAGGCACCGTGGGGTAGGCAGAAGGAAGAAATGCAAGGCAAGAGCTGTTGGATGGAGGAGAACATTCTCCCCCAGAATATCCCTGCCTCCATCTTACAGGCAATCCACAGGTACCAAAAGGAAAGATCCCAGATTATATCTTCACCACAGTAGTAACAAAACTAGGGGTGGTCAGAGGAGGAGCTCCAGGTCCAGCCCTTTGGGTGCAATGCCCAAGGGGCCCAGAGGACATTTATGCACCCTATGCCTTAAGTGGTCTGCTGACATGAGTGGTACTGCAGTGAGCAAACACAACAGTCTACTTGGAGAGGCAAAGCACTAATCAAATGTTCCTGTCAATAACTGTGCAAAGTGCTACAGAGGGAAGGTGCATGAGGAACCTCAGTCTTAGGGAGCATGGAACAAGGCTGGCAAGAGTGGAAACCCTATAGCTCGGTGAGACTGGGGACATGGCAGGAGCTAGACTCCTGGGCCCAATTTTCATTTCAGAACCAGGAGTCTACTACAGAACCCAATTTTCATTTCAAAGTCCTGAGTCTGCTACTGTGATTACAGAGCAGGGCACACACTGAAGGGGCCAGGTCCAGAGCCATGTGGGAGGAGCCCAGATGGAATGGTGGGGTGGCAGTGTGCAAAGAGAGAAGGGACAACTTCAGGAGATATTTAGGTCACAAAGACAAGACTGGGCTGTGCAAGAGCATGGAGGGGTAAAGAGATGGGGACTGGGCAAGAAGACATGTCAAGAATGACTCCTATGTCTCTAGTTTACAGGAAATTCACTGAGATACAGATGATGAGCGATGGGGTGGGGGTTCACCCCGGGCATGGTTTGGGGCTCAATGGCTGAGGCATCTATCCAGGCTGCTGCTTCACACCTGCCTAAGCTGCCTCCTTGAACCTGGATAGGGTCCTTCCAAGGCAAGTGGCTAGTCACGACCTCAGGTGCAATATGGAATTGAGGTTTCTACCAGGAGGTGTTATGTTGTTTCCCGAAGTACTAATACTTGCATCCTTGGAGAGAGAGAAAGACAGCAGAAAGGGGTGGGAGAGTGGATTAAAGGGCCAGGACCAGGGCCAAAAAAGGCCCCATTAACCCGCAGCCAAATGTCCACCTGAGGCTGGGTAAGCAGCTTATTAACTGATAAGAGGACAGTATGAAGCTGTTAGCTTAGGGAGTTTGACACTCACTGGTTTGTGGGAAGGCAGGAGGCTCTCAGGTGATTGAGGGAACTGAAGAATAATCTGTCAAGGGCTTTCTGCAGGTCCCTGGGATGGGGACTCCCTAAGGTTCCCAGCAGCCCTAGGTCTCCTTATATTCTGACTTTAAAATGTATGATAGTGACTAAGAGCATGTGGCTTGGAAGCCAGACAAACCTGTGACCCTCCTTAGAACTCTAGCAGGGTCTGTGAATCTCAGTTTTCTCATGTGTGAAAAACAGAATGATAATATCGATTTAAAGGGGCTGCTGTGTGGACTACTGATTGTCATAATATGGATGGTAACAATGATACAATTTGCTACTATTTGGTTGAGCAGTGTGTTCTGGGTTCTGGATTCCAAGTTCTGGTTTCTGGTTTTTTTTTTGTTTTTGTTTTTTTTTTTTGAGACAGACAGAGTCTCACTCTGTCACCCAGGCTGGAGTGCAGTGGCACGATCTCGGCTCACTGCAAGCTCCGCCTCCAAGGTACACGCCATTCTCCTGCCTCAGCCTCCTGAGTAGCTGGGACTACAGGCACCCGCCACCACGCCCAGCTAATTTTTTGTATTTTTAGTAGAGACAGGGTTTCACAATGTTAGCCAGGATGGTCTTGATCTCCTGACCTCGTGATCCGCCCGCCTTGGCCTCCCAAAGTGCTAGGATTACAGGCGTGAGCCACCATGCTCAGCCTCTGGTTTCTGTTTTATGTCCATTATTTCAGTTAATCCAATGAGCAGCCCAAGCCTTCAAGATTTTATGTAATAAACCAACATGTCAAGGCAAACTGGGCTGTCTATAAATGTAAAACACTAGTATCTTTATAACAGTTACCTCACAGGGGACTAGCATCACCCATGTTGCTACCTGGCAAAGCCATCAAGCTGAACCATGAGCCCCAGAGGCTGAATTCAGCCCAGAGGGTTTTTCTTTGCCCTAGAGTCGGGATGTGGTTGAAGGTCAGGAAGGCTGGGGTGGGGAGAAGACAGAAGGAAGCGAGGGACTGCCTTCTGCCTGCCACTGCCAGTCTCTCTTGGCCAGCCCTGTCTGCAGACAAGTAGGGCACTAACCTATCTCCATGGGCTTTAAGCAGGGTGAATGTTTAACACTGGCCATGTGGAAACTTGCATGGTCACTGGAGCAGGGACACAAAAAAGTCTCCTGTCAGGAGCCTGGCTCTAAGGGCTCTTGGTCCCAGTGATGGGAGACTCTGAGCAGCAGGGTTCAGAAAGGTCCAGCACAGTGACCTGAGCTATTTCTATAGCAACAGCACTCTCCCCCGCTTCAAGAAAGTGAACGGAGCCACATCAACCTGAGCATTGTCCAATGCACCTGGAAGACCCCACACCACTCACAACCCCAATTATTCGAGGCATCCGGGAGGTACAGAGTTACCCCAGGATCTGCACCACCACCAAGTGCGTGGCTGTGGCTATTCCTCCTTAGGCTGGGGGCTTAGAGGGACCTGTGTGTGCCCGATGCCCTGGGAAGAGATTTTGAAATCATTCTTTCCCAAAGACCAGAAAGTAACAGAACTGTGGCATTACCGCTTTCTTCCCCAAGTCTGCATTCAGACCAACCCAGTCATTACTGATCATGTAAGCTTGGGCTAATCACTTTGTTCTTTCAATGGCCTTGTTGGTATAGCTACTATGCAGGGCTGTATTAAGGTGTAGGTTTTGTCTGGAAACTGCCAGGCTTATAATAATCACTTAATTAATTGTAGCTATTAATATTATGACCTGCTTCTTCAAATAGAAGGAGCTCTTGGTAGACTCCCCCACCTGCTGATCAATTTCTTTTTTTTTTTTTTTTTTTTTTGAGACAGAGTCTCACTCCATTGCCCAGGCTGGAGTGCAGTGGCGTGATCTTGGCTCACTGCAACCTCTGCCTCCTGGGTTCAAGTGATTCTCCTGCCTCAGCCTCCTGAGTAGCTGGGATTAAAGGTGCACACGACCACGCCCGGCTAATTTTTATATTTTTAGTAGAGATGGAGTTTCGCCATGTTGGCCAGGCTGGTCTCAAACTCTTGACCTCAGGTGATCCAGCCGCCTCAGCCTCCCAAAGTGCTGGGATTATAGGCATGAGCCACCACAGCTGGTCTAACTTTTTTTTTAAGGGTAACATGAAACTATGGGGTCTGAAACTATGGCCTGCAGGCCAAATCTGGCCTGGCACCTGTTTTTTATAAATAAAGTTTTATTGGAACACAGCCATGCTCATTCATTTACATATTGGCTATGATTGTTTTCATGCTACAACAGCAGCCTTGAGTGATTGCAACAGAAACCATATGGCCAGCAAAGTCTAAAATATTTACTCTCTGCTCTTTTATGAAAAAGTTGGCAAATTCCTGATCTACACAATAGTTTCTCAAACTTTAATGGCAGTATGACCACCCAGCCTGTTTTTTAAGAATGCAAATTCCCAGGGCCTACTATCAAGGTATGAGATTCAGTAGATGTGACCCAGGAATCTGCACTTTAATCAGTACCCCCCCCACCACCAACAACAACCACACACACACACCACCATCAATGACTGTCAAGCATGTGGCATGAGGCAACATTATGGGAATCCTGCTCTGTGCAGTCAGCAATCCTAAGTGACACCAGAGCCGTGGCTTTCACCACAAAGGGGCAGATGGATCCTGGGTGGGGGAATGAGTCAGCCTCTGGATCCACTGAGGGAGGAACAGCTCCCCTGTCCTCATGGGTCTCACATCTGCTTTGCTTTGTTTTTAAGGTTCAATACAGAAACCTCAGAAGACATCAAAAAAGATGAAATTAAAAAAATCCCAAATCCCACCACCCAAAGATAACTACTGTTTACATTCTGACTTATAATTCCATATGATCCTAGTATTTTTCCTAGGTATGTGTATAAAAATATTTTCTCTTTATTTTACAACAACAAAAAAAAATGGCATTAGAGAAACTGCTTGGAGTCTTTTCTCACTTGGAAATATATTGTAAACATGTTCACATGTCAATACATATTGCTAAAATATCATTCTTGGTATGCAACTATAAAAATAGAATGCAGTAGATCTCTATGAACTGATACTAACTCATCTCAAAGACAGGCTGTTAGCAGAAATAATGTGGCACAGAACAATGTGAATACAAGCTTGCATTTGTGCAAAGGCAACAGGGAAACATATCCTTGCATAAGCCTTGACTATCTCTGAAAGGATATGCAAGAACCTCTAAGTAATGGTTATCCCAGTGGCAGGAAATTAGGAAGGGACTGAAACTAACATTTTTACTCCATTATCTTTTATACTATTAGGTTTTCTTACCATTTGCATATGTATCCTTTCAGAAACATTAAATACCTACTTTTAAAAGTTGTCATTTTTAAGGTCTGCATTGTATTTATCATATATATGGACCATAATGTATTAATATTTAACTAGTCATTTATTGTTAGATCTGTAAGTAATTATTTATTTATCAAGTTTACTCTGTAAGTCACACTGGGATAAATACCCATATCCACAAATACAGATAGCCATTTGTGAGTATTACCTTAGGTTAAATTCTCAGAAGTGGAGTCAGTAGGCATGGGCTTTTGTGATTTTAGGTTTTTAATAAATATTGTCAAGCCACTTTCCAGAAAGGCTACCCCATTCTACACACTGGGCAACAGCAAACAGTGTCCATTTTCCCAAGCTCTTGGATGGCCCCTGATTTCTGATAGCGCTTCTCCTCAGAAGGCAGCAAGCAGCACACACAGCTCCCTCAGGTTGGCATGCCCCTTGCAAAGCAGGCACAAAGCAGCGGGCTGGTGCTATGGCAGCCATTTTCACACATAATGGCTCATAACAGTACTCAAATCCTGCCTGCTTCCCCTAGAGCCCAGGCCAACAACAGGGTGCCCCTCTGCACCTCCTTCAACTGGTCCAAGGCTAACCCACTGAACTCCATTTATTTGGAAGGATTCACTTTTGAAAGGCAGTTCCTGGAACCACCCGGACGCCCTCCTTGGGGCTTCATGTCAAGGCCTGCTGGCAGATAGACAGATGCTGGCATTCTTCTGCCCCTGCCTGGGAACAGGTTTGCAGGGCTGCTCCAGCACAGAGGCCCCTTTGAATTCAAGATGCCTGTCAGGTAGAGAGGCTCGGCATTTCCAGGACTTATCAGTCCTGGAAACTGCTCTGGTCTTCTGCCAACTATGCAACTCTTATTCTGCAGTAAATTGGAGGGCAGGGCAGGCTTTCAGTGTGAATACCAACCGCCAGAGCAGCAAGACTGGGAAGAATGGGATTCCAGCCACCACCTAGGGCAGTGTCTCTGAGGCCGGCGGGCAGCCCGGGCAGCCCACCAACTTAACCCATGGGGCTTCCTCCGCCCACCGACAGACCCACTCCGAGCCACTCCGGGGCCTGCCAGCACAAGCTTTTCCGGTTTTTTATAGCCCTCAACATTTCATTCCAGATCAGGGGTGGGAGGGAGAGCAAACAGGATAAAGAAGTTTCTAAGGAAAGAGAGGAATGACTGTCACAGCAGCTCAAGGAGCTCTGAGCTGGGAATGCTGGCTACCCACTGCCTGCTAGCCTCTCTGAGCTTCTGCCCAGACTCCTTCAGTGGGGGCAACAGTGTTGATTGACCTGACAGTTTACTGAAATCAACTGGGGCAGCAGACCTTACAAGTCCCGTCATGTGGAAAGAGGTGGCAGTTTGGTTTCGAACCAAGGAAGCCACTATAGAAACAGTTTTAGGAAAGAAGAGAGGCATATTTACCCAAAGAGGATAGAACTGAAATGCCTTACAAGTAGTGGTTATAGAGGCCCGGTGTGGTGGCTCATGCCTATAATCCCAGCACTTTGGGAGGCCCAGATGGGTGCATCACCTCAGGTCAGGAGTTCGAGATCAGCCTGGCCAACATGGTGAAACCCCGTATCTACTAAAAGTACAAAAATTTAAAAAAAAAAAAATGGTGGTTATAGTTTGTAATCTTATAGTCACAAAATCCCAGCCTATAGACCTTTGAGGTAGGTTCATTTTGCAACTGGCACTCAGGAAAAAACAAAAAGCAGAGAGGTGATCTAAGTTCCCAGGTCGCAGGCCTGAAGTATTTACCAGTAACTTTACCCCTTATTACTTAAAGCATGGTCCACAGAGCAGCATTGTCTGGGACCTTGTAACAAATGTTGACTCGCAGCCTTCCCCAGACCTATTGAACCAGAATCCACATTTTTAACAAGATCCCCAGAATCTTCCAATATTCACTTGCATGTTCAAGTTTGAGAAGTACCGTTCATGTTATCAGCCATTGTCTCTCTACAGATATAGGATGGTGGTTCCTAAACCCCAGCAATCATTCAGGATCACTCAGAGAAATTGCTTGTACCCCAATCACCCCAAGTTTGATTCAGTGGGTATGGGGTAAACCCTAGGCAACTGCACATCGAACAAGCTCCCAGCATTATCAGATGAGCTGGTCTGCAGACTACATAAATGACTTGGAGAGCCAGTGAAATATGCGGACGTCTATTGGATTGAGACCATTGTTCCTCAACCTTAGCTGCACATAGAAATCACCAGAGGAAGTAAAAAAGAACACCCACCCCTGAATTAAGTGACCTGGAGTGTGGCCTAGGTTTGGGAAGTTATATAATCTTATCAGATGTTTAGAATGTGCAGCTAAGATTGAGAACCAACAATTTAGAATAAACTCATTTAAAATCTAGTTTTGATACTTACCAGGTACATGACCTTGAGTGATTTAACCATTCTGAGCAGTTTTCTCATCTTTAAAGTGGGAATAATAGCCACCTATGAAGTCTCTATATTTGAAGATATATTAGATGTCTGGCACACAGTAGGTACTCAATGAATGTTTGATGCCTGTCACTCTCTTCCCCTACTATGATTAGAAGTGAAAAACCAACTGATATTCTTGTCTTTCGCCCAAATCCCAGCTTCTCTCTAAAAGGAAGTACAGAAATACCTGTTTCATCACCATTCAGGATAGACAAAGGAGCTAGGATCTTAAGCCATGATGGATTTTGTATTCAGGAAGCAGAGCTAGCTTCGTGGACCTGTGACCTGACTCTGTGCTCAAAAGAACCTTAGCTTGGAATTTAATGCTGTGCTGTAGCTGTCTGGAAATTCTAATCTTTTTTGAACATTTTTCACTGGGCCACACAAATTAGGTAGCCGATCCCATTAGGGAGGAAGCCAGCAGCATGTTTCCCTCTGGCTTGTGGTAACAGAGTTCATCCAAGAGAAAACAATAAAGAAGCAGGCACCAGAGTTACTTGGTTGGTCTCTCTCTAAGTATGCTGGGATAGTGAGGAAGAGAGACAGGGAGTGTTATTAACCCTTCTGAGTGCAAGGGCCAGAGATAGACCAGCCTCAGGCTTCTGCTTCCTTCCCTGGAACAGGTGGCAGACACACCTGCTTGCTGGAAGCACAGCTGGCTGAAGGATGCTATTCCTCCACCTGCAGTGCACTCCTCTCTACTCCCCTGCCCAGCTTATCCTCCATGAGGAACCACAGCACAAAGGGCAGTGGGTGTCAAGGAGCTGGGGCCGGGGATTTGCAGCCGTTGGCTTGGTGGCTGCTGTTTTCAGCATGTGGTTTTTCTTCCCTAGTCCAAAAACATGTTTTCTGGTTAGCAGTTGTTTTGATCTCTCTGTTTTGCTGTCTTTGGTTTCCAGGGCTGCTCTTTGGCCATCCTAAAGCCCTCTGCAGAGTTCACAGGAGAATGAGCTGCATAAACGCGGGTCTTGGGTACTGCAGCCACATGACAGCTTCTCATTAGCCAAAGCCTATCATCATGCCTCTTCCGCGCAAGTGAAAGCTTCCAAGACCCAGAGGAGAATATGCAGAGAGAGAAAGAATGTTCCATGAGAAGAGAGGAGGGGGTCTGTTGGAGCAGTTTCCACAACTTGACTTTACAGGGGGTAAAAAACATTTGGAACAAAGAAGGATGCTAGAAAGTCAAAGCTGGCAACCCCAGCCCCTCTTGGTTTTCCATCCTGTACCATGATACTGTAGGATAACTGGATCAGTGAGGAAGTATGTCACCATGATTTTTGGTGAAAAATAAATTACTAAAGTTTGTGACTTTTTAAAAGCCAAAAATCAGTTTGAATTTACTATTATTCTTAGCTTTTAAAATCTCATTTACTAACTCATCTTCTGTTATAGTTTCCTAAGGTGTAAAATTACTGTGAGAGCCAGCACTTTTGGGAAAGCCCGGTGACATCCACAGTAGGGCATAAGGCATGTGATCTCACCTGTCACATGAGTAGCAAGGGACAAGAGGTGCAGAATGTCTAAACTGGGTAAGGTATCGCGGGGCTGTTAACCCTGTGGGAGCCATTTGCAACAACACGAGTCAGTAAGCACTGTGCTCTGCTGCCAACACTCAATGAATCTGAGATGCCATCACTTCGGCTATAGAGCCAAGCATAGTGGTCATCCTTGGCCCTGCTGAACAGGATAGAGAGGCCTGCCAAGAAGAGCCAGCTAGCAGGTAGCCACAGAGGAAAAATATTTTGCATCAGCCTCTATTTCAAGGGAATTCCCTTTGAATAGGAGAGTCGATGCAAGGGAACAGTTGGTTCCCTGGAGTCTTCAGAGCAAGTTCAGCCTCCACACGACCAATGGTGACCGTGTAGGGACTTCTATGATGATTCACTGCACCCCTGCAAAGCTCCCACAAAGGACAGGGCAGCAAAAGCATGCCAGAAAAACACACATGGCTTTACAGCCTTCTCAAAGCTCCAAGCACCACATTCTAGAACTCAGTCATCAAGTGGGGTGGGCCTTTGTCTGCAGTCAGAGCCTCCCATTGAAGTTCAAAGCAGAGAAGGAGACGCAGAAGACCCCTGGCTTCTATAAATTTATGTCCTGCCTGTGGATCTGCTACAAACCTAACCTCTTTAATTTAGAATTTGTCAAATACTAGGCATTTTTGAGGAAGCGGGGTGGTTGGAAGGTCTGTCAAATGTCAGAAAAGAGAGGGAGGGCATGCAAACATTTGTTAGGAGAATACGAGGACCCTGGGATCACAACACAGGAAAGAAGCCAGAAACCACTCTCAACATTATGTTCAAAGAGTCATCTTACACCAGGAATCCCAAGTACAGGATCATGGCAAGGGCCAAAGGTACCCTCCTCCCTTGCACATGTCAATTCAGAGGAGGAAATAGAAAAAGAAGTCAAGAAGGAAGAAAACGAGGAGGAGCAAAGAATGGACACATCTTGGGAAGCCAGGAAACCCAATTCCTTTACCCAGTTTCATTTCCGCCTTGCACTGCTCTTGGTTCCCGACCCCCTGCTAAATGTAGTCAAATAAGTGTATTGTGCAGGGTGAAAGAAACTATTTTACTCAACAATACCAATAGTGCTTTCATCCATGGTCCCAGCCCCCTTTCAGTCACCTCGGATATCTCCTATCACACACCACACTTCCAGTACCAATTCCCCTGCTCTGCACACATGGCTAAGACATAGGGACACTCTGTTCCAGCTGAGAAAGAAATGCCAACCTACAGCATCAAAACTCAGGAGTCCTAGATCCCTCCCACCCCTACCTCCCTCCACCTGGAAGAAACCCTTCTCAGTCCAATGCCCCAAGGTTAGGAGAGAAGGCAGAAATGACTCCTTCCCAACTCTAATCATTCCCTTAGACAACCGGTGAAACCAGAAGGATAACAAGAATGTTCAATGTGGCAGCAGCCCCTGAGATCTTTTGGCAGGAGCCAGTCCCTCCAAATCAAGACTCTGGCAGGATTCTACAATCCACTCAGAGGACAGTTACCATCTGTTTATGGAAAAAAATGTTAATAACCCCCAATCATAATCAAATAGGCAACCACTTTACTTTAAGTACCTATTAACTAACGCTAATTTACAATGGAACAGTCCTGCAAGTGCTCATCCGCAGGCCCATCAGAGGCACCAGCACACATCCAGCCATTAGGAAGAAAGGCAAGTGGTTGCTGATGAGGCACTTAAGGCATTGCCGGAAGCCCAAGCAGCAGTTCTTGATGCCCTTCCTTCCCGGCCTTCCCACTTCCGCTGTCCTGCCACGCGTGCAGTCTCTAGCATGTCTGAAAATAAATGAAGGAAGTTCTTGGAGCCTACTCCTCCATCAGCTCCTATCTTTCCCCAAGGCCAGGAGTGCCCCAGGTTGGAAAAAGTGGATTAATAAGAGAATTTTCGAAAGCCCCATTTAAGTGGCACAGCATTCAAAGTTAATTAATCAGAGCCTTGGAGGGATTGAGCTGATGTATTCATAATCCAGCTTCATTTCCCTGACCCTCCCAGGTTCTCTGCACAAGTCAAGTATGTGGAAAAGCAGGGCCAGAAGGCTCTCGCTAGCTGTGTGCTCTGGCACATCACTGCATCTCTCTGGGTCTCAGTTTCCTTAGCTGTACAATGGGCACATTAGCCTAATAAGCCTAAGGTCTGTTTCAGCTCTGATAAACTATTATTCTGTTTTCTTCATGGGAGTAAGAGGAAGCCAAGAAGTATGAAGTAATTCTCACAGTATCTCTGATCTAGAAGTATTTAAAGATACTTATGAGGTGGTCAAGAGGAAAAGAGGCCAAATAATGTATGTATTTTTTTTACAGACTGCAAAAGATCCACACACTTGCTTCTTTTTCTATTAAATAATTATGATGCTCACCTTATACTTTCTATTAAATAATTTTGATGCTCACCTTATATGAAAACTACAGAGCAAGTTTTATTATTGTTCAGACACACTAACACCTATTGCCTGGTTATTGTTCTAATGACGACGTGAAATGATGATGGTGCACTATGGATGTGGACAGTGTGCAGCCAAGACAAAGGAGTCAGGGCATTTGTGTTGCTGTGGAAAGAGGTTGGAGCTAAAACTCAGCCAAACCAAAGCAAGTCACTTCCTTGTCTGGGCCTCGGTTTCTTCACCTGGAAATACGGATACAGGAGAGCCCAGCCAGATCACTGTCATGATCTTTTAATGCCTAATTTAACAATATTTTATGAGAATGAATTTGTCCTAAATTCTGAACCATCTCACTTCCAGGCCCAGGATGCAAGGGTACACTCTAGTTAGTTGTTAAAATGCTGAAATATTTTTATATGTTTCTGTAGCTGCAGTAAATAGCCCATGCCCTGAACCCCACAAGTACACACCTCCCAACCACCCTGGCCACCCCATGATCTGACAATCAAAGAGTTAATGTCTAGCACAGTGGGGACCTCCAGGGCCCTGCTCCAGCAGGAGGGCTGGCTGATAGGGCAGTGCCCAGGACATGCCAAATACTTCACAAATCACCCCTGCCACTCTGAAGCATTAGACTTCATCAATAGCAAAAAGAAACCCCCACTGTACACTTAGCACCATCTTAAAACCTTTGTGATTCCAAAAGAAGATGAGCTTGTGTCCCAAGGTGACCCCTTCCCCAAGCCAAAATTTTGATCAACATGGCAGTTGGAGGGCTCTGAGACAAAGCATGTTCGGTTTGTTTCTAGGAGATCTGGTTAATATATTCATCTCCCATAAAATGGGCACCCATTGGAATTCCTACACATACCGACAGAGAGAGATCTCCAACATATGACAAGGAAATAAAGCAAGATGCAAGTTACTCAGAGTATAAGCATGAATATAAATTAAAACACTCACAGAGTAATGCATTTTGTAAGTATACTGATATATATGCATGTCTGTGTGTCTACATATGGATATACAGAGACATATGCATATATGTGTACATATACATATAGGTAGAAGTATGAAAATGAACTGTTTACCAGCCTTAGCCACTCATCTTTCATGTAGTAGAGGTGGTTGCTAATTTGGCAGTCTGGGAGGTGTGAGTTTATCTGGGAGACAGCCATGAGGGGAGAGACAGCTGACAGAGACACACAGAGACAGAGATACAGGGAAAGAAGCTTCAGTCAGTGAACTGGAGGATGCTGAACTTAGGCTAGTGGCTGCCTATGGAGATGGGGATGGGAATAGGACCAGGGGGATGACTAAAGGGGTTTTAGTTTTAGTCATATTTTATATCTTCCCAAACTAAAGCAGTAAATGCAAATATAAGACAAAACAGTAAGTCATTTATTCTAGGTGGAGGGAATATGGGTGTTTGTTATATTAATCTTTGTCTTTTTCTGTATTTTTTTTATTTCTCAGAAGGAAGTAAAGCTCCTATTAGTAGGCCCTCCCTATCGATACACCTGGCCCTCAGATGTGGATGGGGAATTGTTTATGAGTTTTCCCTATCATCATCTCTCTACTTCCCACTGCCCAGACATCTCAGATCTCCCAATTAACTCTAACTAGCCCATTGTTAATTTATAAGCTGTACTTTTTTTATTATTAAAATTAAAGTCATTCATTTCTAAATTCAACAAGCAATTGTCAAATGTTGCGTGGTGTTTTCAGGCATACTAGGCTGAGTGATCTGTGATTTCTGCCATAGGTCGCTCCTGGTCAAGTAGGACAGACATATGGTCTACCAGCAAAGAAATGACAATGTACTGGGATTAGCGTATAATAAAGGCATTTTACTAAATATTGTGCAGGACAAAAGAGGGCATGATTGCGTCTTGGATGGGCAGCCCTTTTTGGAAGGCAATAAAAGGAACCTATGAAGGTTTATACATAAAGAAAAGAAGGGAGAAATGTTCCCATGGAGCCTTTTTATATGCCAGTTACACATAGATCTTGACACTCACAGCAACCCAGTGAGGGAGGTAGTATTATTACCATTCTGGAGTTGAGGAAACAGAGGCACTGAGAAGGTAGTAACTTTGCTGAAGCCAATGAGCAATTAAGTGGTATCGTACATTCTCACCCAGACTTGAAAATTCAAAACTGAGACTGGGGTGGATGTGAAGAGACAAGGCTTTCCCTAAGTAAAAGGTAGGGAACTTCTGGTACCGGTGTCATCACTCTTTATCCAAGACTGTGATGCTCGCTGGCAATAAAAGATCAAAGGTTAATGCAGCTTGAGGCATTTGCTTATGTCAAAGAAAAGAGTCAAACTCGGTAAAATAATTGAAGAGATTTATTCCGAGCCAAATATGAGTGACCAATGGCCTGTGACACAGCCCTCAGGAGATCCTTAGAACATGTGCCTAAGGTGGCTGGGCCACAACTTGGTTTTATGCAGTTTAGGGAGACATAAGGCATCAATCAATACATGTAAGATGTACATTAGTTCCGACCAGAAAGGCAGGACAACTGGAAGCAGGGGCTTCCAAGTCATAGGCATATTCAAAGATTTTCTGATTGGCAATTGGTTGAAAGAGTTATTTTCAATAGGAAGGTTCAATAAGAGGTTATGGAGACCAAGGTTTTATGATGCAGATGAAGCCTCCAGGTAGCAGGCATCAGACAGAATAGATTGCAAATGTTTCTCATCAGACTTAACGAGTCTATTCTATCAGTAATTCCAAAAAGAAGGAGGGTTTAATGAGGCATGTATGGCTCCCTGCTTCCCATCATGGTCTGAACTAGTTTTTCAGGTTAACTTTGGGATGCCCTTGTTGAGAAGAGGGATGCATTCGGATGGTTGGGGGGCTTAGAATTTTATTTTTGTTTTGCACTTATTTATCCTAAAGTGAGACCCAAACATAATCTGGCTTCATAAAGATGAAAGAGATTCAGGCTTAATTCTAAACAAGGTGAGTCTTAGATACACCATCTCATCTTGCCTATAACTCCAGTATAACTTACTTTAAGTTGCCCGACTTTACAATAGAGGATATTTCACTTCCACCTACGTGGACATGTTCTCCTGACCCAACCAGGGCCAAGAAAGGAAGGTCTGCCTGGGAGAGGGGAGCAGGGGCTGGGAGAAGCTCTGAGGACAGCTGAGGGGAGGAACCACCCTGGGTGCTGCCTAATCCATCCGACATGGGGACATGCTGTTCCAGAAACAGGATGACAATTAATAGGAAAAATCTGCTCTTACAGCACTGCCAAGCATGTCGCAGGGTCTCAGCTGGTGGTGCGCCTCCTCAGGGGAAGAGCAACAATGCCCCATTCTTCCCTTTGGTCAAGGCCCTGATGTTTTCTCAGGTGGAAGGAGGAAGAGCTATAAAAGCTCCCTGCATGGTAGGAAAACTTTGCACAGGCAATAATAGTGCCAGTCCTCAAAACCAGGAGCCCAAGAATTATCCAAAGATTGAAAGCTGTGCGCTCACTCAGTGGTCGTCTCATCTTCTAGATCTAGAAAGCCTTGTTTGGCATGTTGTGTTTGCAGATAAGACATCTCCAATCTAGGTGCCTAAAAGTGGTCTGATTTTGTTTAAGTCATCTGGATTCCAGCCAAACTTCCATCCACCTTTATAATTTGCCTGCACATGTCTTTCTCTTGGTCAAAATATCTCAGATGACTTAAGAAAAACTAGCTTGCTTTGCTGTGAGTTGATCAGGTTCATCAAGAGCAGAGAGTGCAAAGGCAGAAATCTTCTGGAAACAGGGCACCCTGTACCCATTTTTTGTTTGTTGTTTGTTTTTGAGACAGGGTCTTTCTTTGTTGCCCAGACCGGAATGCAGTGGTGTGATGACAGCTCACTGCAGCCTTGACCTCCTGTGCTCAATCAATCTTCCCACCTCAGCCTCCTGAGTAGCTGGGTTTACAGGGTTTTCTACCCTTCTAATCCTCTCTGGGTATTTCCCTATATATCAGTGTTCTGAATTTTCAAGGAGTTACAGAGGTTTCTGAGAATATAGCGAAAGCTATGGACTAGTTCGGTTCCATGCGCAAACACTCCAACATTTGCATACAACTCAGAGGATCACCGTCCCTGTGAATGCCATTCATGTACTCTTCTTCAGTCCCTAAGCCCCAAGGTCCCCAACCACAGACACAAGCTCATGCAGAGAATCCATAGAAATTCATCTCTCTACACATCCCATAGTCTCACCAGATAACACCAACCTGAGTCCTGGCTCAGCAAACTGATAACTTATCAAACCTCGTATCATGCCTCCCTACCCACCCCCACCCAACATCGCCAAACATGGAAACCCCAGCTGGGAGTATATCTTGAAATTCAAGTTTCTGTTTTGGAACTGGTACCCAGCCTCTCTTGAACCATTTGGTCACATCCATCTCTGAGACCAGGCAGGTGGATGCTAATTCACCATGTTAACCCCTTTCATGCCAGTCCCCTTACCCGAGCCTTGGCAAAGAGCCATATCCCACCACCCCACCCTGCCACAGTGGAGTGGAGCACTGTATGTCATGGAAGCCAGCCAGCAGATTTAGAAATCATGTTGCTCTTGGCATCCACTCTGGGACTCTGTGTAGAGCTACGTGCTGAGATCCCATTGCATGGGCAGCTTTTCAATGCCGGAGTCTACCCTACATCTTGCTGTGCTGACGCCTTCCCAACACAACTTCAAAAACAAGAGGAAAACCGTGTCCTCAAACTAGGAGTCCCTTTACTCACCCGTAATGAAAATAAACCAAAGTCCGTCTTCATTTGCCCTGAAATCCAACTTCCTTTCCAAATTATCCTCATTGCATAAGCCCTTCTAAGCAATGTTTATCAGCAGTCAAAGCAAAACCATGTGGATCTACAGTTTGGTTCCCACAGATCCCAACACTGCCTTCAATCCATAATTACCAAGAACAAGCGGCAAACAGGAGTTTCCATCAGTACCAGTTAGACCCCATGACCGGAGGCCCTCTCAGAGAGCAATGGGAGATTAAAACAGTATCTTTTGATCAAAAGCAGTAATGTTTCCCCCCATGACGCCCTTGAAAATGAAACTCCCACCTTACCCTTCATTCCAAATTTGGACCGTCGACCATATTTGTTGATCATGACGAAGAGAACCACCAACAGGACACAGGCAAAAGCAGCAAGTCCAACTGCTATGGATACCTGTGAGGAACCAGAAACAGAGAGTCAGCAACAATCACAGAAAACCCAATTTCCTTGAAAATAATGTGTGTGCCCAGATAAGAACAGTCCTACTGCCATAGTAATTGTAGCCTTCTCAGAACTGCAATACTGAGTAAGGTCTTTAGAAGAAGAAATATATGAGACCCTTAGAACATTTAAAAGTATATAAATTACCCAATTTGATTAGAGAAAGTTCCACGATTCAATGTTCTGAGCCCCTTCTCACCTGGGGCCATTCTAACAGATGCAAAAACAAGCCTAGAGAGGCGTCTGATTTTGTTTTAATTAGCAAGTGAATTCTGCATCTTCATGTTAAAATTCCTTATATAACATTCTTATCCAGGAAAGTCGAAAAGATCTGGATTCTAAAAAGAATCCTTTCTCCTCCTCCCCAGAGTAATCTTAGGCTCTGAAATAGTAGGAGTGGGCGCTTGAAAACACACCCAAGGAGATGCCTTGAGCAACTTGGCCTTTTGTAGGAAACTTGTACAGTTAGCAGCCCCTGCAAATCAGGCCCAGCTGGGCTCCTAACAGACTGGGGATTTTCTGAACCCTAGGGCTTGGAGCAGATCGTCAAACATTTCCTCAAACAATGAACTATTTCCATCCAACAAGGAAGGTTTAAACTGCCTGAACGTAGTTCAATTCATTACTTTTTTTTTTCAAAGTTTCAAGTAAGATAATATTTGGAAAAGTTAGCAACACAAATGAAGTCTGAAAATGACTATGCCAGTCAACACACTCCTCTTGACCAAGAAGTGACTCACCCCAAAAGTGTCTTCTTCTGGTTTGTGGGTCACAGTGATAGGAGGTGTGGGACTCACTTCGTCAACTGAAAACCAAACACAAAAAGGAGGAGGACAGTTAGCTTCCCGGCTGGGGAGGCTCAGCCACAGTCCCTGCCCAACTCCCAAGCTCCCTTGAGACTTCCCCCTGCAGAACATCCTCTGAAAGCCAGGCTCTTGCAGTCTGCCTTCCCCAGGCTTTGCAGGACCCCCCACCCCCACAGACCAGGTTCCTATCTGACCATCTGGCTGGTGTTACAGTTCAAGCACAGGCTCCATAGGAATAAAGGACATTCAGTCCCATTCCCTGCCCCAACCCCAGAGAAAATAACATAACCTGGGCAACTTGGGCCATGAGCTATAGAACAGAAAAAAAGAAACATGGTTTGGGATCCTGGCCAGGGTCTGGATTAGGCAAATGTTACTGGTGGTGGCAGCTGTTGCTGACATTCTGCTACTCCTTGCCACAGGCATTCCTTTTCCTCTCCCTGCCTTTCCTGTGCCCTCCCTCTTTCCTTCTTTACTCCTCAGTGAGATCCAGGAGGCCTGGGGATCCATCAATCAGCCCACTATCCATTCCCCTAACACTGATTTCAGAACACAAGGGCAGCTTAAGTTAAAAAAATAGAACCATCTGACCGGGAAACACCACCTTTACCCAGCAAGGCCAGGATGGGAAGCTAAGTATCAATTTTCCCCTCACTCCACCATCTAGAATCACCTCCTTGACAAGAAATGGCCCCAATTCAGAATTCTCTGAAGGAATATTCTGCAAGATTACAAGTCCTCTAAGGCTGAAGACAACTAAAGAAATCACAGATATTGACATCAGTGCCAGAAAGCCGAGGGTGTTTCTAAACAGCACCTATTATCTCAAGCCAGACACGAGGCAAAAATGGCAGCAGTTGCTGCTATTATTCCCACCTCCCATGGAGAAAAAAAAGAAAAAGGAATAAACACAGGTTTCCCTACAGTCCATAAACAAAACCCCAAATTCTTTTAGGATTGTCTAGCCCTAGCCCCAAATCACTTATAAACTGAGCCTCAATAATTCCTTCTGAGGACACATGAGCCTATCAGGAAACCTTGTAAGTCAAGCTCTCATGAGGCGAGTCCTGGCCAAGTGCTCAGGCTCCTGAAGCAGGTGAGAAACACTAGCAGGTTTATAGGTTCCATATTCTCTCTGCAAGAACAACTAAGATGATCAATAGGGGTCTATTGAGGCACATGAAACCCATGTCCATCCTCACACAGCCCCTCTTTATCCAGGTAAAGAGATCCACAACATCATCAGACATTAGAAAACTCCCTGGGGGATAGTGAACCACAGAGTGATTACCCAAGAAAAGTGGGCTTGGAACTGCCTAAAAAGCATTGCTACCCTTCATTTCCCTTTCACAGTTCACTCAGATGCCCTCAGCTGCCATGGGCCAGGGATGATGTGGAATAGGAGAGAGGGCTATTTGAATTCAATAGTTACCGATAGTATCAGAATAAATCAGTTTCAAAGCAACAGGTAAAGCAGACTTACACAAGATAAAGTTATCCGTGCTCTCTGCAAAAAAAGGACAAAGAGATAATTAACAAATTTAATAAAAACCAGAACAGACACACTACTTGGTCCTAATAGCTATGATCTCTCCCATTCACCATGATTCCCTGTTCTCATGGCAACTGACAAACTAAAATGCATGGCACATCACCCGTCTCCCCATGCTACACTACCAGTTTAGGGGGTGGTCCTCCAAATGGAGAAGGAATGAGAGATAAAGTTCCTGGTTTCAAGGGAGGTGGCCCATCTAGGAACGAGAAACCAAACCAGGTTCATTATGAGATGATAGGGAATTAAAACTAGACCCTCTGTCTCATTCACAGCTCTGCTTTCTTAAGGACCCAAAGTGCTGGGAATGGGGCGACAGGGTGGGCTCCCCTAGACATTCTTTGAAAATGCCAGGTATGATCTCAAGATAAACTTATTCAAAGTAATATGCAGAGTTGATTCTAGCAGGTCACTGAGAAGTTCTTGAGAATCCCTCTAGAATCTGCCCGTCCTGCAGATGGTAACATGTTATTTGATCTTTGGTCTCTAGAAATAGCTCAACTAATAATGAAAGCTAATCCTTATTGCACATTGATTATAAGCGAGGGATGGTGTTAAATGCTTCATGTAGCACATCACTCAATCCTTATTACCATTCTAAGAGGTGGTAGCATTATCCCCACTTAACAGATAAGGAAACAGGCTTATACAGATTAAGTAACTAATTGGATGTCACTCATTTAAGAAGAAATTAGAGCTGAATTCAAATCTCCGTCCAGGCTCTTGCCCACTCTACCAGAAATGCTCAAACTTTAGCACACAACAGAAGCACCCAGATGGTGATTGCTACCAACATCCAATAAAAGGAGTGAGGATTCCTTGGAGAAATGGATGATTTCAGGGCCGGACCAGGGAAAGTACAACATGTGCCTGGAATGGCTTGTAATACTAAAAAGTAAGAAAGTGCTCAAAGATTAATGGAGGCCTGGAGACAGGGCACAGGAGCCAATGTACAGGGGATCTCAATAGCCAAATGTAGGATCATTTAAGCAACAAAACAATGATAGTCCTGGATTGTTATGGATTAGGATTATGTAGTCCCAAAATCCATATACAGAAACTGTAACCCCTAGTACTTCAGAATGTGACTATCTGGAGAAAAGGT
The DNA here is from genome assembly GCF_000001405.40 of Homo sapiens. Taxonomy (NCBI): domain Eukaryota; kingdom Metazoa; phylum Chordata; class Mammalia; order Primates; family Hominidae; genus Homo; species Homo sapiens. The sequence goes on from NC_000015.10 coordinate 88,129,885, forward strand.
CTTTAAAGATGTATTAAAGTTAAAATAAGGCCATTAGGGTGAGTCCTAATCAAATATGGTTGATGTCCTTATAAGAGGAAATTTGAACGTCAACACACACGCACAGAGGGAAAATCACATGACAACACAAAGAGAACACTGCCATCTGCAAGCCAAGCAGACAGGCCTCAGGAGAAACCATCCCTGCCAACACCTTTATCTCAGGCTTCCAGCCTCCAGAATTGTGAGGAAATAAATTTCTGTTGTTTAAGCCACCCAGTCTATGGTATTTCACTGCTGTGACATTCCTAGCAAACGAATACATGAATTACCAGCCATAGAACAAAATAAATATCCATGAGTCCATATTGATACAAATAAACAATTCAATAAATAAAAGGTGGAAGAATGAAATGCTCTTCCTTACAAGAGAATTCTGATTTTTAAATGTAGAAGGAATGATAAAAATAGAAAAATCACCATTTCACAAATATTACAGTAATAATTGTTTCAGGCAAGAATCATCAATGAATGTTAGAGTGTGAAAGAAGGATGAGAAACAAGCTATTTATGTAGTTTAAAAATATTATACTGATTTCTTACAAAGGGGAAAATCATCTGTTTGCAGCAGAGAAACCTGGCAGACACCACCTTGACCAAGTAATAAAGTCAACACCCCCAGTACCAAAACCTATCGACATCACGCGCCCCCGAAACGATGCACTGAGAGGGCAGAGCATCACTTCTGCAGAGTTCCTGCCAAAAATGCATAGCTAGAAATTAATCATTAAGAAAAAAATCAGAAAATTCCAAATGGAAAGACAGTCTACAAAAAAACTAGTATTCTTGCAAAGTTCCAAGATCATGAAAGACAAAGACTAGGGAACTGTCCCAGATTTAAAGAGAGTGAGATGACACAGGAACTCAACGCAGTGTGTAATTCTGAATTGGATCCTAGACAAGGAAAAAGCATCAATGGGACAAGTGATGAAATGTAATTCACATCTGTACACTAGATAATAGTGATGGACCAATGTTAACAACCTGGTTTCGATCATTGCATCGTGGTTAGGTAAGATGTTAACATCTGGGGAAGCTGGACAAAGGGTGGAAGGAAGTGCCTTGTATGATTTTGTAACTTTTTAAAATATGAATTCCAAACTATTTCAAAATGAAAAGTTAAAAATCTTTAAAAATTAAAAAGAAACACAGATTACTAGTCCTCACCTTAGAGTTTCTAATTCAGTAGACCTGGGGTGGGTATCAAGATTTTGCATTTCTAACAAGTTTTCAGCAGACGCTGATGCTGCTGTTCCCTTTGGAATGCACTATATCAATACTACACAGCCTCCTGCCTCAGCCCACCATGCCCTGAAAAGTAAAAGTGTATTCATTCATTCATTCACCCATTCATTCACTCATTGCGGGCCCTCACAGTCTTAGCTCTATTAAGTATGAACCAGCAGATATTCTCTAACTACTTGTGGGGAATCGGATACTTTCTGTGATGGAGTCCTTCAAAGAAAGCCTTACTTATGGTACACGCAGTTCGGTTGCTTGTTTGTTGTCTGTTCTGTATTGTTTTGGGGGATGGTCACAGAACTATCTTCACATTCCTGGGCATACCCTTCGTGCCAACACCCTCTTCTCAACAGCAGGTGACCAGAAGCCTGACTGGGGCAGGGGGAGGATGGAGGAAATGGAAGCTCTAGCCTGGGTTTCAGAGCCTGAGAGAAGAGAGGTGCCAGATCAATTCGCAGTTTACATTCATTTGCATATGTCTCATAAGGCTCCCATTTATTAGAGAATATTCTCACGTTAGCCAAATGTTTTGGTCAAGTCTGTGAACCCTGTTATCTCCAAATCAGCCTATGAGTGTTTAAGGCCTTTGCCAGGGCCTGGAAGCATTTATACATCCAGAAAGCACATAAGCTTTGGAAGAAGGAGACATCCTGACTCCTCTCTAACCTGTGGGAGGGTTCAGGCATTCAGCCTGGAAGAGGATGGTACCCAGGACTGGTCCTCACCTCTGACTGCACCAGCAGGCTGGGAGGAGCGCTTGTCCAGCACACCAAGGAACAATCTGGACATGAACTGGGGCTGTGCCATGAAGGGAATACACATGTCTCCTACAGTCCCAGACCATAACTCTTCAAGAAGCGCCCCTTCTGTAAATTAATCTTCACCACAACCTTTAAGGTAAAAGCAGGAAGGTGAAGCAATTTGCCTGACGTCACAGAGCTGACAAGTGATTGAGTCAGAGTCAGAGCCCTGGCAACGTGGTTCCATGACAACTAGCCTAGACTACCTTAACATTATCTGTTAGAACTTACTAGGTTGACCAGAAAATGACTACTGGTTCTAGAACTCTTGAATTCATCTCAGCTCTACATCCTAAGAATCTTAACAATGGCCCACAGCTAGTAAGCCTTTTCTCTGTCCAGACGCACTGCTATGCACTTGGCAGGCATAACTTCCTTTAAGTCTCATGGTAGCTTAGATGGGAGATATTATCATTCCCATTTCATGGATACAGAAATAGAGGCACAGAGAAGTGATTGTCCTCCATCTAGTACTGGCCTTGCACTAAGCCCCATGCTAGGAGCCCAGGCCACCAGATGGGAGGGCTATCTGGGAGGGGCCACAGATGGGACCTGCACCTAAGTCTGTCTGATTTCAGACTGCCTGCTCTTAGCCTCCATGCTTAGCTGCCTGGAAGCAAAAGAGAAACACACATGATAATCACGATGTCTCCACACTTTCACATCAAAAGAGAAGAGCAAGAATCACAGACCAGCTTTGCATCTAGGCTTAGCTGGGGTGAGTTCGGTTTAGAGGGCTATGACTCATCTCTTCCTGCACCCCCAGATAATTGACTCTCTTGAGCGTTTAAGCATCTTGTCACTTGGCATCGTTTCCCTGTCACTGCCTTTTCATCACCCATTGATCCCTTTAACCTAGACTCACAAAACAAGCAAATCTTCCCACAGGGTGACCCTAGCAGGATGGAGATGGGTCTGAGGAAATGACCTCAGGTGAGGTGCTTTCTCTTTGAGTTTCTCTGTGACTCTATCCTCCCTCCATCCTCCTGGGGCCAGATTCCCACTCAATTCCAGGGTAGTAGATTGCAAAGGAGGGAGTACTGGAGTCACCTGGGGGCTTGTTAAAACATAGCTGCTAGACCCCACCCTGGAATCTCTGATTCCGTAGATGTGAGTGGCGCTTGAGAACTTAAGTTTTAACACATTCTCAGGTGAGGTGGATGGGGCTGGTCCATGGACCAAAGGTCACTTTTGAGAACCACTGGCCTGAGGAGCACTGATAACTGACTATGGTGACAAGGGTATCCAGAGACTAACAGAAGGGGCTGCTGCATCTCGTGGGGGCAGAGGAGGTATCTCTGAGATAGCTCTGAGGGCTGAGAAGACGCAAAGTATTGCTTCCTCCTGAGACAAAGGAGAGAACGGAGAAGCTGTATCCACCACATCATCCAACTGCTGCTGCTACCCCACACCTCTCAGGATACCCCTGGCAGAAGGAGCCAGAGTGTCTTCTCCTCCCTCCTGAGCATTCTAGGGTTCCCCCCTCCCTAGGCCCCAGAAGCTTCTCTTTGGAAACAGAAACATTGCTTCAGGGTGCTTCATTTCCTCACCAATCAAGACTTTCCCTCAACAATGTATAGACTTTCCTCTTTAAAAACAGAATTTATTCTCTAATCAGGCCACAGGCAGGGCAACGTTTCAGTCTTTTATGTCAACAAGACCTAGCCTGCCCTTGTAGACCATAAGAGCAAAATATCTCTGCTCTAAAAGCCTCTTCTTCCACTGTGCAGGCCAGGACTCATCTACCTGCTGAAAGAGAGCACAGTGTGACCCAGGAGGGGAAGTGTCATGGGGGCTTTTACTGAGCATTCTGGGGATGATGGAAGTTTCAGACTACATGGGATTTCCAGGGCCTCAAACATCTGCACATTCTCAACTGCCTCCGAAAAGACGGCTCCATCATCCCTGGGACCTCAACGGCAAGAATTTAGCTTAATGCAGCCACATTTCTCCGACTTTACTCTCAGGGCCTCCAGTACGAGTTCCCTTGCACTGACATAAATAAAGCTTCCTGGAGCTGCCACACCCTGGTAATTTGTAGACTGTGAAGTTGACTTCATAAAAACAGATGCTACATACTGCTAGCTCTTTCTGCCTTTTCCCTTTGTGCACGTGTGTGAGCATGCATGTGCATGTGTGTATGTGTCTTATCAGTTTTTACACTGTATCCCATTAGAACTCCTGATTCCTAGGGATTGAAGACCAAAGGTCTCCTAGTCACTTCCCAAAATGAAGCACCAAGCTCAGCAAAGACACATGGCTTTATGGGCAAAACTTATCAATTGCGGAACCCACAAAAAGATGCTACAATCACTTTCACTAAACTCTTTTGGTGTTTTTTTCTCCTCCAACTTCAGGGAGATATTTAAAGCATCTTAGCCCAGACAGAGAAAGACAGAATCAACTCCCAAAATCAAATCAAGCAAAGTTCTTCAGTAATTTCAATAATTTTTCCTGGTCCACTTGACATTAGCACTATCATAAGCTGAGGGCATCAGGTATGACCCACAGTAGCTCACCATGGAACAAGAGAGGAATGAAGCCACAGACCTGGGGGCCTAGATCCAAGTCAAACCTTGTCACAGATCAGCAAGTAGAATGAGGATCAGGTCATTCATCCGTTAAATGGAGGGTTAAACTGGACACACTCTCAAGTCCTTTGCAATGGGAAATCCCGGAACCATCATCAGGTGTCAAACCCTGTGACGTGCTTTATATACCTTGACTCATTTAAAAGTCACAGGAGCAGTGTAATCATGACTATTTCATAGAAAAGGAAATTGATGCTTAGAAAAGCAAACTATCAGGCCCAGAGTCTCCCCACAAGTAAAGGGCTGGGTCAGAATTCTCTACCATTACTGTCTCTGCTTTCTCTACTATCATACAGTGTGCCCTAACATGCACAACTGTTATTTCTAAGAAGTCTTGGTTACCATGACTGCTATTGGAAAATGGAGACTCTATCCTTGTTTATACCAGATGCGGCTGGTGGTTGCACATGTTCCAGTGTGTGTTTTGTTGCCCATGATAACAGTATGAGTACTGATGCTGCTTCTCCTCTCAAGCTACCATGCCCCATCTCCCAAGCTTGTAGAAAGAATCCATACACCTCCGATCCAGCTACGCTGCCCTCACCTGGAAAGGGCTCCTTGAGGAAGTGGCCATTGATGGTCTGGTTGGCTGTGCCCAGTGGGTTTTTGGCAATGAGGGTATAGTTGCCATTGTTGTAGTGGGTGGGCTTGTTGAAGAGCAGGCAGCCCTCGGAAATCTCTCCCTCTTGGTAGTATTCCACATGGATGATCTTGGACTCCCGCAGAGGCTGCCCATTGTGCAGCCAGTGCAGCGTTGGTGGGGGGTTGCCACGCACCACAAACTCGATGCAGTGCTCCAGGCGCAGCTCAGGCTCCTCCAGGCTCACCACACGTGGGGGATCTGTCAAGGGAGAAGCCTGCTGAAATCCAGGACACAGAGTCTACCACCTCCTGCAGTAGCCTTCCAGCAACTAAAATGGGAATCCCGGTTCTTCCCCACCCACTCTGAAAAGGCTGAGGGAAGCAGAAGTCCCACCACAATCCCAGCAGAGGGGAAGAGATGTCTGTCTTTATGCAAGCTTCCTAGATCCACCTTAGCTGGAGGGCTCCCTCTTGGGACCTCTTAGGGGTTTCATAAAAGGCAGAATAGGCCAACTTAGAAGTGTCCTGAAGATGTAGTTGACTTGGAGCCACACCATCTTCTGAGGGACAAAGGTGCTCTTTCTGGGGTTTTTAGTCCAAGGACTTACTTCTCAGTCCTGCCCTACAAGAGTCCTTCTGTCCCTACTGGTAGATCAGCTCACTGCTCTAGCTCACCCCTGACAACACCTTGGCCCCTCTCCAGCCTCCTATGCCAGTTGCCCCTCACACACAGCCATCCCCCACAATAACATGCACTTACAGTAGACAGTGAGGGCAACACTGGCATTGCTCATGCCCACCACGTTCTCTGCAATGCACGTCAGGGTGAAGCCATTGTCCTCACTCGTCACATTCACCAGCGTCAAGTTGATGGCATGAACATTGGTCCAGTTCAGATTGGTCTGAAAACCCCAATAAAAAGATAACAATCAGATAGCTTCTACAAGGATGGCTCTGCTACCTAATCCCCAAATACCTTTAGGAATCAAAAGGAAAGCTGAGCGGAAGGCGAAGGAGATCTTTGTGTGAAAGCACACTGGCCAAATGCCAGGCTCCTCATAGGCAATAGTTCAGGCCATCCTCCTATTAACCCTATGAGGTGAACGGTAGTTCAGTACTATGGCCATTTTACAGAAGCAAAACCTAAGTTACAGAAAAGTTGAGTAGCATGTATAGAGCGAAATGGCTAGAAAATATTGCAGCTGCATGTAACCCAAGTCTATGTGTTTTTTCCTATAGTAACAAGACCGCAAATTTTCCCTCTTCTTCAAGACTACAGTGTGATCACTCCCTAGCCTCCTGATGGGGCTGAAGCCCAGGATGCCTACCTGGTGAGTGTTGATGGACTGCAGCCCAGTGACTATCCAGTCCACATCAGGAAGGGGTGATCCAGAGCCATTGCAAGTGATAACAGCGTTGTCACCCTCTCGTACGGTCAGGTTGACGTGGCTCACGCTGATCTCAGGAAGGTCTGGGAGCCAGACAAAGTGGGTGAAAAGACAGGCAAACACTTACTACCCAAAGGAAGCTCTGTCCATGGGGCTGATGGTGGCACTTCTTGCCTTGCCCAGTAATGACTCTAACACCACCTGCTTGAGTTCTTGGAAGACCCGCAAATCCAAGACGCTTTACATCACCTCCCCAGTAGACATCAGAACTCAGAATTGAAGCCCATGCAGTTGCAGTCTCCCACATTGCAGCGGCAGGTTGCGGGGTGGGGGCAGTGCTTAGGGAATGCATTTCTGGCAATTAAGCTCAATGGCATCATTACACTTTGGGCTCTGGTTATCTGAATAGTAGTGTTTCAGTCTCCCAATGGGGAGCTTGCTTAAAATTCAGATTTCTGGGACCCATCCCCAGACATTCTCAAAGTCTGTGTTTGGGCCCAGAAATCTGCTTTTTTAGAAACTCCTTAGAAGCTGCTGCCATAGGGAATCCAGAGACCACATTTTGAGATACACTCCTTCAGGTTTGGTTGACAGGTAACTCACAGGGAGAAAGGGAATCTGGTGTGATGAGAAGGAGCACATTTAACTCCTGTGTGAATTCCTGAAACCAGTCTTCCTATGGCTCGTGCACAAAGGGACAGGAATGACCAAGAAGGGGAATGATGAGTCAGGAGGTCTGCACACAACTGCAGAGTTCAAGGCTGGGAGGGCGTTTCGAAAGGAAGGCTCTGGCATCCCAAGGTAACGTCCAGCACCATCTCTGGTGTCTGAGGGATGCCTCCCTGGAGCCAGCTGGGCCAGGCGGCCACTCACTCACCACACTGACTGATGTTCATGCGGAAGAGAGGAAGCTGGGAGCCATCAGCGTTGATGCAGTAGAGGTTCTGGCTGTTGAGCTTGGCCTCCCCCTGCTCCTGCCAGAGCTGCATCCAGCGGATGTCACAGCTGCAGTTGAAAAAGTTCTGCTCCAACTGCCTGTCGGCAAAGAGAGAGGGGAAGGGAACCTCTGAACCGAAGATGGCCCAGGACCCTCCCAGGGCTATGAGGACAAGGGGGACCCGACCTGTTCAGGGATTAAGGGGAGAAGGGATTTAACAAGGTTACAAAAGAAGTGGAAAAATCCTTGTAAGTCCATAAATTGCAGTTTTAAAACAATAAACTCATTTTTTTAAAAAAAGAAATCCAGCCAGGTGCGGTGGCTCATGCCTGTAATCCCAGCACTTTGGGAGGTCAAGACAGGTAGATCATGAGGTCAAGAGATTGAGACCATCCTGACCAACATGGTGAAACCCCGTCTCTACTAAAAATACAAAAATTAGCCGTGCGTGGTGGCGCACGCCTGTAGTCCCAGCTACTCGGGAGGCTGAGGCAGGAGAATCGCTTGAACCCAGGAGATGGAGGTTGCAGTGAACTGAGATCACACCACTGCACTCCAGCCTGGCAACAGAGCGAGATTCCGTCTCAAAAATAAAAAATAAAGAAATCCACCTCACTTCATGCAACTGTCTAAGAGATCCTTTTAAAGAGATATCAGCGGCCGGGCGTGGTGGCTCACACCTGTAATCCCAGAACTTTGGGAGGCCGAGGTGGGAGGATCACAAGGTCAGGAGATCGAGACCATCCGGATTAACACTGTGAAACCCCCATCTCTACTAAAAATACAAAAACAAAAAATTAGCCGGGCGTGGTGGTGGGCACCTGCAGTCCCAGCTACTCAGGAGGCTGAGGCGGGAGAATGGCGTGAACCCAGGAGGCAGAGCTTGCAGTGAGCCGAGATTGCACCACTGCACTCCAGCCTGGGCGACAGAGCAAGACTCTGTCTCAAGAAAAAAGAAAAAAGAGAGAGATATCAGCTCGAGATGCTCCTCTTCTTAAAACCCTCCAATGGCCTTCCATCTCATTGAAAATCAAAGTCAAAGCCCTAAATAATCTGCACCATTCTCCATCATCTCTGACCTCATCTTCCCTCACTCCCTCCTCCTCTTCAGCCACACTGACCTTGGTGTCTGCAAGGTCACCTGTTGACTGGTTTGTTCCTACCCCAGGACCTTTGCACTTGCTGTTTCCACTGCCTGCCAAGCTCTTACCCAACATCTCTACAAGGCTGGCTCTCTCAGTCTAACACTGCCCAGTCCCTTGCCATGCTATATTTGTCTTTCTAGAATTTATCACTACTGGCATCACTTTAAATATTTATTTTTAATTAGTTTGTTTATCTGTCTCCCTGAATAAAAATTAAACTCCATTGAGGTCAGCAACATTGCCTGTTTTGTTCATTCCCTAACCTAGAACTGAGCCTGGCATATAAATTCTTGTTAAAGGAAAGAGAGAAAAAGAGAGAACGAGACTGACTGACTGTCCCTGGGGGAGTAGGTGGTTATCTATTTCCAAGATATGCTCAAAGCCCATCCTGGGACCAGCTTTATTCTTTCATAAATTCAATAAATTCTTAATAAGCACCTGCTCCATAATTGGCCATGGGCTGAGTGCTGCTGACACAGAGATGAAGAAGACAGTCCCTGTCCTCCAGGAGCACTCAGCCTGGTGAAGAAGAATGTTTGATAGGGGAAGAGTCACCTTCAAGGACTTCCTTCTCTACTGATTTTCCTTATGACTTGAAGCAAGTCACCTCCCCTCTCAATGGGATTATTAAGGAGACAATGAACAGCATTAATCAATCCAAAACTCAGAGTAAAGGGCACCGGATAAATCTGAATGCCTGGATCATTAGAGGAAACATGATTCTCTTTCTGGACCATCAAGGAGATGAATCTGTTGGAAACCAGAGGGAGGGGCACTTGGGCACACCGCACTAAGACCTAGGATATTTTTGACAACTGGAAAACTCCAAAATAGTTAAGCATGCATCAAAATTAATCAGCTTTCAGGAAAACGTGAGGCTCCTGGGGAAAAGAATCAGTGCTTTCTAGTTACTAGGACACCGGAGGCAGAATGTGCAAATACCCCTATGTGGTATCATCCTCTTAGCCTAAAAGTACTCTCTGCACATGGTACTCTGTCAGAAAGGTGAAGGGAAAGAACTAACCCTTACTGAGCATTTGCTTCTTACGACAACCCTGGGAGATGGTCAGAACTGCAAGGAGGGAGGGGCCCTCTCTGATGTTTGGAGGGGTTAAGTCACATGTGCAAGGTCTTTGGCTGGTGTGCAAGACAGCACAGTTTCAAACCTCAGTGTGCTGGACTTCAAAACTCATGCACTCTCCACCCCATCTGTCATGTGCAAGGCATTGCTGGGTGCAAGAGAGAAGCAGAGAGGAGCAAGCTAGGAGCCCTGACTTCAGGAGCTCATATAGGCAAAGACCATGTTGGGGTGGGAGGGGGGGAGTGTGGGGGGTGGGGGTAAGTAGAAGGAAGTAACAAAGGCAAAGGGAAGTTGTAGGTGAGGTGTGAAAACAGAAAAGAAAGGCTTAGCAGGACAGAAAATGTGTCAAGGAGTGCTGGGAAACAAAGCTGGAAGGGCGAGTGGAAGCCAGATAAGAGAGGACTTTTACTGCCACATCAGGAAATTTGGAATTCATCCAGGAGGCAGGGAAAACCATTGAGGCCTCTAGAACTGGAGAACAATGTGAACAAAGAGGTCTGTAAAAAGAGAAATCCAACAATAGTGTATAGGATAAGCTGGAGAGGAGGAAAACTAGAGATTGAGAAGCTGGTTAAGATTGCTTATAAACACAGGGTCAACACGTACAGTTGTGTAGTTTGAGCATTTCTCAAAGTACTCAACCAAAGGGATAGACAGAGGATAAAATCCACTCTGTACACTCTTGGCCAGACCCAGCTGTAACCCTGGCACGTGGCTACATGCACCCAGATGGGGCATCTTTTCTAACTCACACATAGGCACCATATAGACTGGCAGGGTCCAGGTCAATTCTCAAACTTTTGGTTTCAGAACTCCATTCACTCTCAAACAAAACTACTGACGGCCTCAAAGAGCTGTTGTTTATGTGAGTCATATCTATCAGTATCTACCAATTAGAAATTAACACTGAGAAAGATGTAAAACTCCAGAATACATTAGCACAAACTCCATGCATCATCAGAGCAATGATGTTATCACGTCCTGTGGCCTCTGGAAAACTCCACGGTATGCTCATGAGAGGATGAGAGTGAAAAAGGCAAATAATGGCTCAGTGTTACTATGAAAACAGATTCTATTTCATTGTCTCCTGAAAAGGTCTTAGGGCCCCCCCAGGACACCCTGGACCACCACTTGAGAACTGCTGCCTAGTTAATATGGGCCTAGAGTGGAGTGGGAAAAACTGGAGAGAGGGAAGAGAAGATCCAGTTAACATCACAAGGAAGGCAAAATGGTACGTGGTGCTTTGTAGGGGATAAAAGAAGAGGAAAAAGCAAAAGATGACCCCAAGATTTTAAGCTCCAAGAGACAGGAAATCAACGGCAGGGAGAACTGTCTTTGGTTGAAAACAGAAGAGAAAGAAAAGAACCAGCAGAAAGGAAGAGAGGACACATTACGAATGAGGTTGGGATGGGGGTGAGGCTGGGGAGGGACAGACCAAGGTCCTAGAAGGGGAAAGGGAAGGATCAAGTCAAGAAGCCTTGGAGGTGTTGCCTTGGGGTTATGTCAAGATGTCTGTGTAGCTGGACATGAGACACAGAAAAGAGAAAAGGTAGACAGGAAAAAATGAGACGAACATAATAGACATTATAGGATCATAATATTAGCATCGCACTTGCCGTAGTGCCAACACTAGACTAAATGTCTTCCACGCATTTCTTCACGTAACCCTCATGACAAGAAGAGCAGAAGGCCAGATGAGCTGCCCAGTGTATGCAGGAAAGATAGGCCAGAGGAGGTGGAGCAGTGTGGGCTCACACTGCAGGGGCTGCAAGGAGAGGCCTGGCCACCCTGCTAGAATGACAAGGAGGGTCCAGATGCTTGAATATATGTGAACTGAACCAGGTCAGCCTGGTTTTCCCAGCTGCTCACTTGACAAGATGCAGTCATTCATTATTAAGTAGGTGTAAAAATACAAATTATCCACCTGGGTGGAAAAGACTAGACAGGCGAGGGGCTTGGCTGCATTGCCGCAAGCCACACAGCACTTGATGCTGTGCTGCCTCCTGTCTGGTCCCTGCACTGCTGCACATCCCAGCATCTCATGGCCCCCCAAAGGCAGACAGCATGAGAATGTCCTGAGGCTGGCCAGAGAATTAGGTGAGATGTTTGGGATGTGCCAAGGATGCTGCCAGGCAAAGGCTTTGTACAAATTTTCTGCTTCCTTCCATCCTTTCCCCCCAGGGTCCTGCTTACAGGACCTGATCCAGCAGATGGGATGCACCTTGAAACCTGGTCCTTTGTTCCAACTGAGTTTATGGGAAACTGCAAAAGAACTGTGGGGTATTCCCCCCATCCTTCTGGACTTTCCTCCAAGAGAACAAGACACACACACAGCAGAAAACATTTTGAGTCTTAAAACAATGACACCCTAGACAGCCCACTGAGCAAATCCACAATCGTCTTTATATCCGGACAAGAGAGGATTCAAATGGTGAGGTGGGCAAGAAGCAAAGACCGGCACATCCTAAATCTAAATGATGCTGTCCATCCTGTGTCCCTCCTCCCATTGAACCAGATCTCAAGCAGGGGAGCCTTTAGCCAGGACTTTGGGGGCAGTCCTGCGGAACCTAAAGCATGGCTTTCCATGCTTCATGAATAATGCAGGCAGTCGCATTAATAATACAGCAGCAGCTGCTGCAAGGCAAAGCTTACCAACACCCGGCACTTGCCCCAAGATGGCCTGGGGCCTAATCGCAGGGCTCTGATGGCTCCCCACATATTAACTCAGCCCCATCTGAGTTTGTAAGGACAGGCACTTTGCAGCACAGCCAAGGCCACCACTGGATATTTAGAAAACACTGATTCCCTCCGGTCATCACTCTAGTGGTTTTCTTCTTCCCTGCACAGCATCAACACTTCCAGTGACAGTCCTGGGGCCAGGCAGTGGAAAATGAGGAGGGGACCCAGATCAGCCAGGACAGCCCTGCTGTCACCCAGAAAAGGATCCCCAAAGGATGGAGCCATCAGCACAGGCCTCCTTGAGATAACAACAGTCAGATGGTAGGAAAAGCACACAAACCAAAGATCTGAGTTGGGACAGCTGTATCATTTCAAGTGAATACACTGGGTTTAGTTGAGTCCTCCCAAAAGATATATCCAAGTCCAAACCCTAGTATCTGTGAATGTGACCTAATTTGGAAATAGAGTCTTGGCAGATGTAATCAAGTTAAGGATCAAGGGATAAGATCACTCTCGATTTCAGGTGGGCCTTAAATCCAATAACTGGTACCCTTAAAAAAGAAATACTAGGCGCAGTGGCTCATGTCTGTAATCTCAACATTTTGGGGGGCCAAGGCGGGCAGATCACTTGAGGCCAGGAGTTCGAGACCAGCTTAGCTAGCATGGTGAAACCCCATCTCTACTAAAAATACAAAAAAAAAAAAATTAACTGGGCATGGTGGTGCTCGCCTGTAATTCCAGCTACTTGGGAGGCTGAGGCAGGAGAATCACTTGGACCTGGGAGGCGGAGGTTGCAGTGAGCCAAGATCATGCCTCTGCACTCTAGCCTGGGCTACAGAGTGAGACTGTCTCAAAAATATAAAATGAAATAGAAAAAGAAAGAAGGTGGAGATTAAAGACAAAGAGACAGGGATGGCAGGCACGTGAGATGGAGTCAGAGGTTGAAGTGATGCTGCCACAAGCCAAGAAACACCAGGAGCCACCAGAAGCTGGAGGAGGCAAGGACGGGTTCTCCCGCAGAGCCTTTGAAGGGAGTGTGGCCCTGCCAACTCCCTTATTTCAAACTTCTGGCCTCCAGAATGGTGAAACAATAATGTTCTATTGTTTTAAGCCACCAAGTGTGTGGTAATTTGTTAACGCAGCCTAGGAAATGAATACAGCTAATAACTTAACTCTCTAAGGTTCTCTTTTAACACCAGCAAAATGGAGATCATTGTGCTTGACCTTCCTTCTTCACAAATTTATTAGGAGGATTCATGATAATATATGTTAGCATGATTTGGGAACAAAAAGAAGCTATTAAGAGGCCAGAAATGATCACTATAGTAATACTATTAGTAACATTATTGTTTAGTGACGTCTCCAAGAACGGTAGAAAGTCATCACGGCCAAGACTGGGAAGAGAAATGCACCAGGACCAGCCCAAACCCATCCCCGCTACTGAGTTAATATTTTACCAAGCTGATTAAATCTTCAAATGATACTAGAGGTAATTATCACTTTCCTTTAAAAGAAAATGAAATACTCCAATCTATTTTAATCATGTCTGCTCCATGCATGCAGGGTATTCAGAGAAGCCTGTTCAAGATACATTAAGGATCCTTAGGGCACTGCTGGAGTGTTTCTGTGCTGTAGGTCTACATCCTCTGAGACCTCTTCCCATTGCCTAAATTGTATCTTGAGATTCAGAATCTAAGCTTCTTTTCTTCCTACTTCATTCTTTATCTCTAAGACAATCTCTCTGATTCCTGCTCTGATTTTTGGACAGACAGGTCTCATCTTCTCTGCAAGGAAAAAAAAAATAATCTTGCCATAACCAGAAACTTCTGAGAGCACTGCACAATGCCACGTCAAATTTTTCCAACCTGTGCCATTGAAACTGTGCTGGTTACTCCAATGCAAGTCATGGAAGATGCGAAGATGCTTCAAATTCACTCAATAAGAGGTACGCCCCCCTGGACAGAGGGGAAGCTGTGAGTCAGGGGCTTGGCCAAGACCATCTCCCTCATCCCACAAAAATAAATGAGAGAAAGTAGAGGAAGGGTCTTGGTGCACTGCAGGAACTCTGAGATGGTAACTTGTTTGTTTTTTTTTCCTTTGATTCCACTCAAGGGACCCGACATCTTGAGAGGGGCTTCTGGAAGGAGAGGCCGAGCATGTAGGGTGTGTTGCTTGAGTCAGGTAAGAGAAACAGCCTGGTCTTTGGAAACAGCAGATCGGGGTAGTGATAATATTAAACATCATAACACTCATTCCCAGATATACCACTTACTAGCCATGTGATCTTGAACTACCTGTTTAACTTAGCCGAGCCTCAAATCCCTCATTTGTAACACTGGTCACACTGCTACCTCCCTGTAGGATTGTTCCAAGGATAAGACAGAACCTCACACACATTAGATGCTCAAGATGTGCCTCTTCCTTCTCCTTCTGCCCTACTGGAAAAGTCATGGACACTCAGCCCTTCCATTCTTACAGCAAGGATCCTCTACTGGGCGAGGGGCTGGTTGGGGTACAGCAGAGGTCCTTAGTGACAGAAAGAAACATGTTAAGGAATTGCTGCACACCCTCTGCCCCTTCTGTCCCTGCAGAGGGTCACTTAAACCTCACACTTCTGGCCTGTGGCTTTCCTGGCTCCACAACACACTGAGCCCTTTCTCCTCCAGGGCCAAAATTCTTTCTTCCTGGAAATACACAACCCATCCCCACGCCCCAGCCCACAGGCTCCATCGAGCAGACCCTGGCAGTCTAGATGGCTCATGGCAGATGGCGCCATGTGGACTAATAAGGAAGTCAGACAAGAAAATACTACCCCCTCTTCCATTTGCCAGGAACTGGGATTGTTTGGATTTTAATCATAACCACAGCTAAGAGCCAACACGCGGCCCCTCCAGCCAAAAGATGAATTTTCCTCTCCCAAGATTCAATTCTTCTTCAAAAAATAGACCCCTACCAGGGTGATTGCTCCTTAGAGGGGGGCTTCTTTATTCTCCAATATGATTTTTTTCTTAGTTAACAATATGACAGAAATAAAACACACCATGGACATGGTGGTACTCACACACTGACTCACACTGGAGGGAATGTCTTCATTCCTCCATAAGTCACATCTAACTCACTGGTGTATTGATCCCAGGCAAAGATGAATGCAGAATCCCATGATCCTCTGGGAGAAATCTGACATTTTCTTTAAATATATATCCACGGAACAACTGTTTCTAAAACTCCACGTAACAGGTCACCAGGGCAGCAGCACACCATTGATTTCACATCCAATAATTTTTTAGAAAGAGCACTGAACATTTTCTCAATAATTCAGCCAACAGCAGACCCCCTATGTCCCCTGGAGAGATGCCATCCCTGGCCTCCTGAGATGAAGGGACTACGGGTTCCAGAATAATTACATGCAAGACACCCAAGAAAGAGATCCCCCAAGGCCCTCAGTCAGTTCTAGGGTAACTTAAGAAAGACCACAATCATGTGTTTTTTTTAAAATTATGGTAGAATAGATCCTTGTGTTGGAAACAGACTGAAAACACTGGGAGATAGTTGAGCACAGTGGTCAAAGCTTTGGGTCCACACACTGCCACTATTCAGTGAGTGACCTTAAACAGTATACTTAACCTTGCTAAGCATCTCAGTGTCCTCCAAAGTGAAGTGATAGTAATAATTCCTACCTTAAGGAATTGCCATAAGGATTAAATTAAATTAAGTATACAACTTAAGAGATTGCTTGGCACAATGCCTGGCACAGAGGAAGAACTCAGAAATCAGTGTTAGTAGTAAATCGTAGTAGTCATGTTAATTTACCTTTTCCACCTACAGTACACAAGGTCATCATGGGGTGATAGGCTACTGGGATGCTTGATGTAAAGCATCAAGAGCTGGGTCTGAAAAGGTAAGGTTTTGATGCATCCATGAAGTCAGGTCTTGCTAGGTGAAGGGAAAACAAGTTGAAAGGCCAACAGCATAGGCAGAGGTCCAAGGTCATTGCCTCTTGGTAAAGAGAGTAAAGCAATCAGCATTCAGTGAATTTGGATCTGCGTCACCAAGTAAGAGGGAACACATGAGCGGTGTCTCTGGAACCCTGACTCCCTAACTTGATCCATGCCTCAATTCCTTTTCAATTTATTCCTTGATTTATACCCTCAACATAATATGATGTCCTTCATGCACAGAGATGACCCCGATGAATCACTCATCAACATGAGTTATTTTTTCCAGCAGTGGTCACGAATGTTCACTCATTTGGCCTTCCTTTGTTTGTGCAGAATGGCTGGCTGGGATAGGGGTGCCCTGATCAGCCTTGGACCACAGCAAAGCTAAGCAGTCCACATGCAGATTGAAAAAATATATGGCCTCCCCAAACCCCTTGACATGCCAGTACTCAAGTCAAATAAGCTGAAGAAGATTATGAGTGGTGAAAAGACATGTAACTTGAAGTCAAAAGGTGTGGGTTCAAGTCCCAGCTTGGCTAGGCCCTAGAAATGTGATCTTAGTTGAGTCTCACGTGTCTTTCTAAGCCTCAGAATCCTCACCCATAAAATGCAGAGAATAATAATATCTACCTCTTATGACTCTTATGATGATAAATCTAAAGTTATATAAATGAAAGCATGCCTAATAGTCTATAAAGTTATATATTATGAATGTGATTTATTATAAATTCTTTATTATAAGTATTTATACTATTATAACTAATTATCTACAGATCACAAAACTAAGTCATAATAAAAGAAGAGACTCCTGTCTTCTGAAATAGATTGTGCCCAGAAAGAGCATCCGAAGTCAAGCAAAAGGGTTAATTGCTCTCACTGAACATGGTACACTCTGTGTCAACCAACCCAAGTAGGCTCTTCGAGTAGATGTATGCTCAGCCTTCAGGTGGTTCCACTGCTTGACACTCCTCCCCATCCACCCATTACCAGCACTTCAGTACCTGGACAGTCTTCAAAACCAAACTTACAATTCCCGAAGACTCAGCGTCTGGAAGAGCTGCCACGAGAGTGTGGTGAGCCGGTTACTTGACAGGTTTCTGCAAGATTGACAAATAAAGGGAAATTTTAAAACAAGTCTGGCACAAATAATGCTCTAGGTAGTAAGCTTAATCATTTCACTGGAGCCTGGCTTTGTTTTCCTTCTTCTTCTTCTTCTTCTTCTTCTTCTTCTTCTTCTTCTTCTTCTTCATGCTGTTAGGCTAGCGATACATCTGCTAATAGCTGAGGGCATAGATCAGGTTTGGATAGGCTTTTGAGGCCTTTTAAAGGGCAAGATTTTACAAATCAAAGAAACCATGAAATTCTCATGGTCATTCTTCCATATCCCCTCCCCACAATAAAAGTTTACAGAGCCTTTATGAAGCCATCCTTCTCTAAGAGGACAGGGAGTTCTCAGAGTAGATAAGCCCACTAGCATTCTTAACACGCACACAGGTCAAAAAACTCTGCAGGTCACCTACAATTCCTTTTAGCCAGTGTCTCTCCCAGCAAACATGCCCACCAATGATCAAGACATCAGCCTTTTGTTCACACGTCTGTTCTCCTCCTAATGGCTATTTAATTGTTCTCATTAGGATGTACAGGGGAAAGGAGCAGCCATTAGTCTTCTGGATAAAAGAAGAAACACGCCCACGGTTATTACTTTGCCAGGCTCAACAAACAACTTTTGATGTGATAACAGCCCTTAAAGGCAGCAGTTAGACACTGCTAGAATTGAAGTGGCATCCCAGGAACAATGTACTCATCTACTGATGGGAACAAATGGCAGTGCTGATTCCATTTAGGTAAATATCTATCCACACAAACACGATGTGTGTATACTTGTGTCTATTAAACATGTAGGTACTAAAGGCAAACACAGACTCTTGTTTATACACACACATATGCTTACACACGCACCTATATTTGGATGACTTCTACAACAAATATTTATTGAGGCTACACTGACGAATGAGGGAGTTGACCATTGAGGGGGAAGGGAAGTTCCCTCTGGAATCTTATATTCAAGTTACAGATGAATAAGCAGAAGGAAGAGTATCAACACCGTGATGTAAGTAACTGATACAGGAGTGCGGAGGGCTCAGAGAGAGGTGCCTTCTGAGAAGGTAGCATCAGGCCTGAGCCAAGAAGAAGAAAGAGCTGAGTACCAAGGGAGGAGTGTTTCAGGCAGTGAAAGTAGCAAGTGTCAAGGCCTGAGAGATCCAGAGGACCAGGAAGGAAGCCAGTCAGGAAGTAGTGAGGAGTGCTTTGGGATAAGGGGGAGAGGCATTCACGCCACACTTGCTGGCCATGGGGAGGAGTTTGGATTTGATATTAAAGAGTGGTGGGAAGGCACTGGATGGTTCTCAGCAGAGAAGTGACCTAGTCTAATTACCATTTTAAAAAATAGAAGACCAAGACTGGAAGTTGGCAGGCCAGCTAGGAAGCTGCTACAGTCTTCCAACCAAGAGAAGGGAGTGGAGATAATCAAGTGGATGGATTCAAGATAGGTGTTAGAGGTAGAGCTGCCAGGATTTCTATTGGATTGGATTTTGGAGAGGAGAGAAAGAGAAGTGAGTGGCCAGGTAAATGGTGACATCATTGAGTAGAACGAGAAAGCCTGCCAAAGGATCACATGGAGGCGATGGGATAGAGACCTTCCCCTTGCAAATATGAAGTTTGACACACTGTTAGCTATCCAAAGAGATAAGTCAAATTGCCTGCTGGATTCCTGGGTCTAGAGCTCATGGGAGAGGTTGGGGCTGGGTAAGATCACATAGGGAGGGAGTCCACCCAGTTCATAACAGTACCAGACACTAAAATACAAGAACAACCAAAGGGACATGGCTTTCCCTTCTCATTGGACGCAGCCCTCTTTGGTGCAGTGGCTTGGTTCCACCCCAGCCTGAACTGGCTAGGTCCCTGAGATGGCCCATGACTGTGCAGAGGAGGCAGCCTCATGCTGGGGGTGCAGGGTACTGGAGGAGAAGGGAAAGAAACATAGGTAGATGTCTCCCAAGTTTACTGTTCTGCTGTCTTCCCTGTACCCAGTACCCTCTCTGTTCAGAGTTTTTAAGCCTCTAGGATAGTCCCCATGGCCCTACACTGTCACCAACCGCCTCTCTGCAAGGCTGAGACCTCTGGTATGACAGCACATGCTCACTAAAAGCCTATACACCTAAGCCATCCATCATGCTCAGCTCCACAAAACCCCTAATGACTATACAGCTTATTCCTACAAACTTCCACTGTTCCCCCACCGATCAGAAAGGTGTGATAAAAGAAGAACTGCAGTGATGACCACCTGAGGACACCACCTGGGGCAAAGCCCCATGCAGCAGCCCAGCTCCTGCTCAGAAGGGTGGAGCTGGAGACCAGACACACACTCCCACTGAGTCACTAACCACACCCTATTAGACCAGGAGTTCGAACTTGGGGTTCAGGACAACAGGATTTGGTACTGCTCTGAGTCTCCATTGCCACTGGCCTTTATGAGGTTTTATTAAATCTAAGTGTTTGATTCATCTAGGTAGAAATCTTCTGTTTTGCTCTATTTTGCCTGGTTTACTCTATGCACAACAGCATCACGGCAGCAAAAGCTGGACAAGCCCCCAGCTTCCAAATCCATGAGGTAATCCCTGCGGCACTTTGGGAAGATGTCCGTCCCCTGCCTTTAGCTCCCTACCCCTCTCCAGTGCCTCCCTGAACAAAACCCATGGTTCTGAAGCTGAGCAGCTGCATCCAATGGGCAGTTGGTAGCCAGAAAGCTCAGACTTATTGAGCCCTGAAGAACATGCCCCTGGTAAGGTACAAAAGCAACTGGTGGGAACTAGCAGGCCAGGAGACAGGAGCAGTCCAGGTGAAATGGGCAGCCCTGCCCATCTCAGAGGGAGGAGCAGGCAGGGAGCCTGCCAGGAGTCCTGGGGAACCCGAGGCAGAGAGCAGGCTGCCAGCGATGTCCTCTCACAAAGGTCATGCTTTGCTACATTAGGCAGAAATGTCAAAAGAAAATTGGATTCTGAAAGAAAGAAAATAACAGACATTCTGGGCAAATAAAGACTAAGAAATAGCATTATTGCCTTATTACAAGTCAGAGGAAGGAGGGGTCCTGGGACCCCTGTTAAGGGGGAAGTGGGCTCCTACTCTCCCAGGGCTGCCTTGGCTTCATCTCCCCCTTGCCCCTCCCCCACCCATCAAGCCCCACCTGGATTCCTCCCGCTCTTTGGGTGGATGGAATGGCTGAAGCACTCATGTGATCTGCCCACAGACACAGACAACCCAGTGCCTGTTTGCAGAGCCTGGAAACTGTATTGCACAAGTTCAGGGAGGGTTGCAGTGTGCACAACCCTTGCAACTGTACACAATGCCCTGCCAGACACACAGTAGAAGCACCAAGCCCCAGAAAAAAACTTATACAAAAAGACAAGAGATAAGGCAAACATATACACACCACAAAACAAGCAGAGCATGCCTCTGGCCACCCTGCCCTCACCGGCATTGATAAATTCTCATAGCGCAGGGTAAATAAACAAGCTTCTGTATGAGTTGCCACCCACTCGGAACTCATTGCCCCTGATTTTTCCTTCTAGCTGGGGCCTCACCTATATGCACCTGTCATCAATTATTGATGAGCTGGTTACCCTGCTCATCAGACAAGAGTTTAATTAAGAACACCCTGCCTCTGAGCCCCACGGCAGCCTTTTCTGTGGGCCTCCTCCCTAATAGATCCATTATCACCCGTCTCTGACTTTTGCTTGGGTCAATGGCCAGTTTCCAAGCCATCTGACCATTGAATTAATTTGGTGAGCAAGATTTTACGAGATGATGCATCAAACTCTTCCGCAAAATCAAGTTCCGTGACACTGCCCCTTCTATCTCTCGCCTGAGACTACCAAACAAAGCCATTAATTTTGTGCTGCAAAACTGGCCCTCTCACAGACCAGACTCTGGGGTCCAGAGGTAGTAAACAATGATGATGTGGCTACTGGGTGCTCCGGGAACAAGGAGCCAGACACACAGATGGCTGAACCCTGGGCCCTGAGGAACGACAGAGCTGAGATGTCACCTCTGGCATTAACCCCATAATGAACAGGGGTCCTCCCAGGCAACCTCTCCTCTGACCAGTAGAAACCTAAGCACAGTAAGCAGTCCTATGACCTTCCTAATGGTGGCACCCAAGTATGGCAGGAATAGAGCCCACAAATGGGGAGGATTTCATCTTCTACCCTGGGAAACCTACTGTTACAAAAGGGTCAATAAGACGGACCCTGTTGCCAAGAGAAACCAACCAGATGAGTCCCTCTGTTGCCCCTTTGGGGGTTGAGAGTTGAGGAGACATTAAGCCCCATCCAAAAAGTGGTCCTGAAGATGGAAGGATTTGTGGATTTCCTGGATTAAGAGTTGGGCTGACATTTGGAAGCACCTCCTCTTCTACTGGTAGAGGCAGGCTAATGGGCAGGTATGTCTTAGGATTTGCATGTGTAAGGGATTGCTGGTGGCAGGTCCTCTGCGTCTCTGAGCTATTAAACCAGACTGCCTCACCTGTGTACTCCCACTCCAGCTCCTGGATGCTCACTCCACCTCCACACCTCCTTGGTCCCTCTCACTTGAGTGTTTTCTGTTGTAATGTACTGAATTTCATTCCTTCAAAATTCGTTTTTAAAATCCTTACCCAGCCGGGCGCCGTGGCTCACACCTGTAATCCCAGCACTTTGGGAGGCTGAGGCAGGTGGATCACCTGATGTCAGCAGTTTGAGACCAGCCTGGCCAACATGGTGAAACCTCATCTCTACTAAAAATCCAAAAATTAGCTGGGTGTGGTGGTGGGCGCCTGTAATCCCAGCTACTTGGGAGACTGAGACAGGAGAATCGCTTGAACCCAGGAGGTGGAAGTTGCAGTGAGCTGAGATTGCGCCATTGCACTCCAGCCTGGGCAACAAGAGTGAAACTCCATCTCAAAACAAAACAAAACAAAACAAACAAACAAAATCCTAACCCCCATTGTGTCTGTATTTGGAGATGGGATTTTTAAAGACCTAATTAAAGTTAAGTAAGGACATATGGGTGGTCCTTAATCCAATATGACTAGTGTCCTTATAAGAAGAGAATTAGGACACAGACATAAAGAAAAGATGTAAAGTCACAGGGAGGAGAAAATGGCCATCTACAAGTCAA
This sequence comes from Homo sapiens, assembly GCF_000001405.40. Classification (NCBI taxonomy): domain Eukaryota; kingdom Metazoa; phylum Chordata; class Mammalia; order Primates; family Hominidae; genus Homo; species Homo sapiens. The sequence goes on from NC_000015.10 coordinate 88,152,520, forward strand.
GGAGAGAAGCCTCAGAAGAAATGAGCCCTGCCAATGACACTTTGATCTTAGGCTTCTAGCCTCCAGAACTGTGAGGAAATAAATTTATGTTGTTTAACCCACCCAGACTGTGGCATTGAGTTCTAGCAGCAATTGCAAATTAATACACCTGTTCTCGGCCCCTCATTTGCCCTGAGGCCTTAACGGCCAAGTTGGCTGCCTCACTGTGATCCCTGAAAGCCTCCAAGTCATGGTTTTCTGTCACCCCCTTGCTCTGTCTATGCTTGGTGGCTCCAGGGAACCAGCCTCCCAATCAGGTTCCAGCCACTAAGATCTAATCTGGTATCTGCCCACTTGCCCACCCCCTGGGTGTACTCCAGCCTCCTCCTGCAAAAAGATTATTAAAAGAGATAACAGACAACCAGGGGCATACTCAGTTTGCATCCCAGACATAAATGCCACAGTCACTGACTCTTCCTGGAGGATTCATTCTGCTGCTTGCAGAAAGGCACTCTTTTGAGCACCGTTTGGTCTTGGTGCATCCAGCACAGCTAACCAGAAAACAATGAATGTCCAACCCCTCCCAATCCTGCAAGCTCCCAGGGTCTGTGACTTGCTGGCTGCAATCATTATGGTGCAAATCTTATTTCTTTCATCCACAAAGACAGCATTTTGAAAGGTGCAATTCCCTCTTTCTTAAGATCTAACATCATCAAGTATCTATCCCTTTTCTTCTTTATTTTTTGTTTTTTATTTTTTTTGAGATGGAGTTTCACTCTTGTTGCCCAGGCTGGAGTGCAATGGCATGATCTCGACTCACTGCAACCTCCGCCTCCCGGGTTGAAGCGATTCTTCTGCCTACGCCTCCCGAGTAGCTGGGATTAAAGGCATGTGCCACCACTCCCAGCTAATTTTTTGTATTTTTAGTAGACACTAAAAATACATGCGGTTTCTCCATGTTGGTCAGGCTGGTCTCAAACTCCTGACCTCAGGTGATCCACCTGCCTCGGCCTCCCAAAGTGCTGGGATTACAGGTGTAAGCCACTGTGCCCAGCCTCTTTTTTTTCACTATGAAAGAGATATCTCCTTGGTTTTTGCTGTAATCCATTCATGGTGCTATAACAAAATACCATATACTGGGTGGCTTATAAACAATAGGAATTTATTTCTTAGTTCTAGAGGTTAAGAGGTCCAAGATCAATGGGGCAGCAGATTCAAGGATCCACCTCCTCAGAGACAGATGTCTTCTCATTTAAATCTCACATGGTAGAAGGGGCTAGCTAGCTCTCGGGGGCCTCTTTTATAGAGCACTAATCTCATTCATGAGGGCTCTGCCCCCATGATCTAATCACCTCCCAAAGGCCCTGCCTCCTAATACCATCATCTGGAAGGGGAGGACTTCGATATACGAATTTTGGGGGCACATAAATATTCAGATCATAGCAATCATCTTGGAGACCATCAGGCCCTTCTCATGACACACCATACCAGGATTCTTTTGATTTTGCTGAAGAATCTGCAAGAAAAGAGTGCTGTTCTAGACCAGAACTAATTAAGAATCTGCAAGAAAAGAGAATTCCCTGATGCAGCACCAAGCCCACATAGACTTTGCAAAAAAAAAAAAAAAAAAGAACAAACCACAGAAGGATGAAACTAGCAGCCTACTGCCCACTTCTCCAAGAGCCAGGGAACCTACACCTCCTCAGTCTTGACCCTGTGACTACTTCTGTGCACCATCAGCTCCACACCAGAGGTATCTGCAGCCTACCACCAAAGGAGCTGTTAGGGGGCTGCCGCCAGCCTCCTTGGGTTGAAGCAGTGGGAAGGAAGGAGGCACCATATAATCTTGTCACCAAGGCCTGCTGCCAGCACCAAGGAGGGCCCATGAGCCAACCCCTTAAAATCTAATGCCTATGACAAGGAAGCAACTGCTGCCGCCCAACATTCTTCTTGAAGGCCAAGAAATATTTTCCTACATCATTGATATATTTGCTTTTCCCTCAATTAAATTGCTGTAAAATGGGGTGGGGTTTAAAGCCATCTGAGCCATTTTTATTCAGTTAAATTACACTGGATGGCTCATTTAATGAACTTTAATGAAGTCAAAATGCTTTCTCTAATCAAATCTCAACTGACGTGACTGGTGTCTTGACCTTAGCTCAGGAGACTGGAGGCAACTTTTTCTGTGCAGCCTGTTATGGGCTCTACCAGGGTTTCCCAGAGCGTGTTCCTGGAATCTGAGGTCTGCAATATGTTCATGGGTATTTCAAGGGGAAAAAGATCATATTGCTTGAAAATTGTATTAAAATTAAGCATGCTTATTTACTGCAGAACTTCTCAGAGCTTTTACTGTAAGAGAAGGACCTGGCAAACTGTGTCTCTCAAACTTACTGGAGCATAGAATCTTCTCCATGGAGTGTCTAGCCAAAAAATACCCACATAACATCCTTAGAGAAATGTTCTCTAAGCCAGGGGTCAGCAAGCTAGAGCCTGTAGGTCGGCAGTCTGTTTTTATAGTTCTACCAAAACACAGCCATGTCCATTTGATTATGTGTTGTCTACGGTCATGTTCCAGGCAGAATAATGGTATCCACATCCAAATCTCGAGAATCTGTGAATAGGTTAACTTACACCGCAGAGGTGATTAAGCATATAGACCTTGAGATCAGGAAGTTATCATGAATTATCCCATGGTCCCAAGGTAATCATAAGGGGCATTAAAGGTAGAAGAGGAAGGCAGAGAGAAAGTAGGGACCCATGTGACTAATGAAGGAAAGCACAAAGACATTCAATGTTGCTGGCTTTGAAGATGGAAGAGGGGGCCACAAGCCAAGAATGTGAGTGACCTCTAGAAGCTGGAAGAGGCAAGAAAACCCATTCATCCATTCTCCCTTAGAGCCTCCAGAAAGAAATGCTGACCTCCCTACACTTTGACTGTAGCCTGATGAGACCCATGTTGAATTTCTGGGTGTAAGGCAATAAATTTGTGTTGTATTACGTCACAAACTTTGTGTTAATTTGTTACAACAGCAATGAGCAACTAATAGGGCCACTTTCACATTACAAAAGCAGAGGTGAGCAATTGCAACAGAGACCAAAATATTTACTATGTGACCCTTTTCAGAAAAAGTGTGACAACCCCTTGTCTAGAACAGTACTCTCCAGTATAGATATAATAAAAGACACAAATACCACGTGAAATTTTCTGTTAGTCACATGTTAAAGAGTGAAAAGAGGTGAAAGTAATTGCAACAATATGTTACTTAACCCAATATATCCAAAACATCAATTCAACTTGTAATCTATCATCTATCTATCTATCTATCTATCTATCTATCTATCTATCTATATAAATGAGGTATTTCACATTCTTTTTTGTACTAAGTCTTTAAATCCATATGTGCTTCACTCTCAGAGCTCATCTCAATTTGAATTGGCCACATTGCAAGTGCTTGATAGCCATGAGTGGCCAAAGGCTACCATATTAGAAGACACGGCTCTGGACCATCTGAAAAATCCAGACATTGCCTGAAGTCCCCAGTAGAGAGAAGCAGTCAACAGGTAGAAAACTGTCATTATAAGTTCTCCAAAGGAATGTCAGGTTTTCTTTCCCCAGATGTCAATCCATCCCAGAATCCAGCAGTCACATAGTTTGTTTTATGAGAAGGAAATCACTCCAGTTGTCCCAGAGCACAGTGCAACATCACTGAGTAGCTGCCAGCATCCTCTCAGGCTGGAGCTCAGAGCAGGAAGGAAAAGAGAGGTGAGCACTTGCCATGTGCTGAGGAGGTGGAGAAGGACCGTGGCACATGGGAGACCAGATATGGACACAGAGAACTGGACTCTTCCAGAATGCTTGGCCCACCTAATCAAGTCCAAACTCCACCTCAGAATTCAAGTACTTCCACAAAATGACATCAGCCTCCTGTTTCCATATATTCTCTCACTACCCACCTCCTTCCCCCATCCTTCAGCCCCTCCCCCTAGCTAACCCTAAAAACCTACCTGGGACAAAATGGCATCGCCCTGTTGGCTGCACCCTTAGAGCTAGCTCCCTGGCACTTCTCCTGCTCCACACCACCGCACCTTTCATGCCCTTCTCCCCACCCTGCAAGCACAGTGTGAGTGGTTCTCTCTGCAGACGGCTAGCACCACCCACTCTAAAATCTTCTTTCCCTCCGCTTTCTCCCACTGCATTTTTCTTGGGCCTCGACTGTCACAGCCTGCGTCTCAGACTGCTGGCCTGGAGTGACAGCTGTGCCTGTGTTGGCCTCCCACCAGGTTGCTTTTCTTGAAGACAACCTTTTCTTTTTCAGTTTTATTTTCTTTATAGCACCTGGAACCCAGTAAGTGCTCAAAGAACGTATGGAAAGTTCAACGGAAGACCCACAAAACTCTTTCATCTGAAGGGACCTAAAACCAACCTGAGTTTCTAGGGACACTGGAAGGAAGCATTTCTTTCTACACAGCAACCACAGTGCACAAAGAGACTCTGCAGAGACCTCAGCAGAAAAAGGCCTAGGGACAAAGACAATCCTGTACCCTGCAGGGTGCGGCTTCTGCTCCTCCCACTGCCCTCCTCCACCCACCTGTCCTGGGACCTCTTTCTGTCCCTGTGAAGCCAACTTCTACACTGCTATGAACTCACACAGCCATTGCGCAGCCAAGCCAGACTCTCCCAGTGGGTGTCAAGAGGATGAAGGCGCTCTCGCTCCCTCTTCTTCCCTCTCTCACACACACACACCACACTACACACCATACCACGCACACATATTCAAACATACACACTTATCCCCACAGCTGTCTCCGTCTGGCTCCACCAAGAAACACACTGAGAACTCTTCTTAGGGGGTCTGAGGAGCTCTGCCTCTTTGACCCCTCCCTGCCTCTCAAGGACATTTGGGTTTCTGCCCTTCAGGATCCCCGTCCCTTCTGGTCTGTGCTGCCTCGGCAGGGCCCATCCTGCCCTGGCCTCTTGATGGGAACACGTGTGGAGCCGAGCAGGACCAGGAGCTGACTCTGTGAGCCCAGGTCCCAGAGCCAGCAGCCCTTCCCTGTTCCCTCCAGTAGGCATGCTTTTCTCGGTGTCAGCACAAACCTTCACGTCTCTGCGCTGAGGAGCACACTCAGAACCTCGCAGAACATGGGGGAACAGTGGGGAGCCCTCAGCCCACCTCCCTTGGCCTACACGAGGGACGCCGAGACTGTGAGATCCAGGAGGACTTGGGAGAGGAGATAACTTGTTTGTGTCACCAGGCAAGTCACTGTTGGAGCCAGGACCCGGAGTCCTGGATTCTGACTACGGGAGAGGAAAATGGGGATCCCAGAGGTTAAGCCAGTTCCCAAGATGACCCAGCTGGATGGTAGCAGAGGCTGGTAGCTGGCACCAGGGTTCCTGATACTCAAACCAGGGCAGCTGAGGGATCCTCCCCTCTTGGCCAATCTTGGCTACAGGAGTGACTTCTGATCCTTAGTGTTGCAGGATGGGTAAGGTCATGGCCTTTGGCACCTCACGGGCCCGGGTGCCGGTCCTACCACTGCTGCCTCCATGCCCTGTGACTCTGCGTGAGTTACTTCACCTCTCTGTACCTCAGTTTGCTCATCTGGAAGTTGGGAATAATAATAGGGCATGTCCACTTGAGCTGTGGTGAGGATTAAATGGGGTATGGACGGCAGCTGACACAGTGCCTCATCCTCAGTGGGCACTCAGTGAACATGCTCTGTCACTGTTTCTGCCCATTGCCAGTCACCACCGAAGCCACAACGCGCCCACGCCATTAAAACAAATACAGGAGGTCCAGGTGGTGACCCCTTGAATTCAGGCATCATTGTATTCAGTAAAGTCTGAGTTCACAAGGCAATATAGAGACCTGCTGTAACAAGACAGCAGGCAGCACCTGCTCCCCTAGGGTTGGGCTGGTGCTGGTGTGCTGCCTCCTGCAGCCCACCTAGCAGATGCCTGGGCAGGGCCTGAGGTCCAGGGAAAATGCGGTCCTCACCCTGAGGTCTATTGGCCACCTGCATCTGGGTCTCCGCTGCAGCACAAGGCCACCAAAGGCCTTAAAATCTGCTGTGTTTCTTCATGTTGTCTGCTTTGCACCAGACCTTGAGTGTTATTGAAACTATTCTGCGGGGTGGGTGGGCATTGCTCCTTGGGAGTTTCTTTTCAGATAAATTAACCTAAGGCTAATTACCCTGAAGCATGTGAGCTCTCTCTGGAGTCCCAGGTGGGCGCTGCCAGGCAGATGCTGGGCCTTTTCACCCGGGATCCACCACCCGGGGAGGTGGAGGCCAGGCCTGGCGTGGGAGCTGACTACCCCAGAGAGGCGCCAGCACATGATGTGCTGATGTGCCCAAGACATCACACTCATTTTTACTCAAGAGCTGTCATGACAAGAGAAAAAAAAAGACGCAGAAAGCATCTGTGGGAAAAATCAAGAACCCCTTGCAGCTACTGACTAAAAGCAAAGCAAGGGATAGAGAGGGAGAAGGGAACAGAGGTACAGCTGCAGGCCAAGCCCCCGGGCTGAGAGAGAGCTGCCCAGGGCGGGCACTGTCAGGGCTGGAGAAGCCAGGGTCCCCAAAGGCTGGTGGGAGCCTGCAGGGGCAAGAGTGCTAAGCTGCTCTGAGGAAGCACATTCCTGTTCATTACTTTTTAGCCAGGCCAGACAACAGTCCCCTTTCTAAGAGCTACTATTCAGATTAAAGGAAAATCTATGACTCTCTTAAAAACAACAAAACTGTGAACAGAAAGCTGCTCTGGGCCTTTTCATAAAGAAATCTGATTAGGCCAACGCTGCATCCAATCCCTCCTCCAAGATAAGAGGTTAGAGGGAACACAAGCCAAGTGTGGATTTGAGAAAGCATTGAGGGGAGAGGTTCTCCCATTCCGGGTATCAGAATCACCTGGAGGCTTGGAAAAACCAAATTACCAGGCCTCCTGAGTTTCTGATTCAGCAGGCCTGGAGAATTTGCTTTTCTAAGAGGTTCCCTGGGTGACATTGATGTTGCTGGTTTGGGAACCACACTTTAAGAACCACTGATCTGGTGAAATTTTGTTTTCCCCATGGGCAAGTTGACTTTGGCTCCAATCAAATCCCTCTGCCCTAAAGAAGTAGACAATCGTATATGCACATATAAGGAAATGAAAGAGTCATGTGAGCAGATGAAAAGAGATGCCCTGTCAGGGAGCCGAGGGATGCCTGTGCAGGCTCCTGGGAACAAATGCCATTGTTAATAACCACATAGGGGAATTCACAATCCCCTCCTGGAACTTGATGGAGAATCTCCAATGGGGACGTGCCCCTGGCTGGTCCAGGGCAGGGCCATCACAGCACTGCACATTGACTAAAGGGAGGTCCCTGCTGCCCAAAGTGCCTCCTACACCTGCTTCCTGCACTCAATTACAAGATGAATCTGTGCCTCCCCACCCCACCCAGCCTCCTACACACACACACACACACACACACACACACACACACACACACACACACACATTGCTTGAACTTCATGCCTGGTGAGCCTAGAGGACGACAGAGGCTAGAAACCAGAGAAAGTGAGAGGGGCAGTGAGGGTCCCGGGATGAGTGGAGATGGTCCCAAAAGAGAGCAGAGGAGAAAACAGGACTCGGACGAGAGCATCCAAACCAATGAGTGAGACCCAAAGCTGGAGCTGGGGAACCCAGAGGAAGGAGGGGCGCCCCAGCCATGGTCAAGGGGGTGCTGCTGAGCAGAGAGAGGGAAGAGACGAGCACGTAGCAACAGGCCAGCCAGAGCCACACTCAAGGAGTCACAGCTGTGCCTAGGCCCACTGAGGGACCCATACCCCTGGTTGCCTGAGGATGGGGAGCCCTTGAGGCTACAGGATGAGCTAAGAAGCAGAGACCTTAGCTTAGTGCCTGAGGTAGTGTCCTAGAGGCTTGGGGCAGAGTCAGCGGCTAGCGTCAAAGGGTTCACTAAGGCTGCTCTCTGGAGTGGCCAGCGCAGAAGAGTGGGGGCTTTGCTGACAGCTCAGACCTCCTGCCCTGCCCCTTTTCCAGAGTAGATCCTGCGCATGTAAAAAGCCATAGCTGGACTTCCTCTGCCCCACTTCTAGCAGGGTCCAGGAGGACATGTGAGCACACCATTGGCCTTTAGGGGCCTTCTCCCCTAGGGGTGTCCAGAAGACTCAACCCTGGGGATCACGTGAGGAACAAGGTAGCAGACCCACTTTTAGGACCAAGTCAATGGGCAACTGACAGTGGAGAAAGCCCCATCCAAGTGTATGATGGAGAAGCTCATTCTTTCCTTAGCACACTACTCTGGAAGGGAACAGTGGCTGTGTGGGTTTGGAAAAGCATTTAGGGGAGAGGTAGGCAATGGTTTTCGAAGATGGGCTAAGCTGTCAGCTCTGACCCTCCTGAGTTGTGGGACCTGCCCTGAGAAAGTTATTTAATCTCTCTGGACCTCAGATTCTTCATCTTGACCATGCAAGTCCTAATAATATCAGCCTTATGGGGCAATTCTAAAGATCAAGATAAATTAATGCATGTCAAATGCCCAACACAGTGCTTAGCACATAGCAGGTACTCAATGCATGGCTGCTGGGGTCACAGAGGTATTTGAGGTGGTAATAGTAATAGCAGCTAACAAACATGGTGATTGCTCTTGGCCAGCTATCTTTAAGGGTTTTGCATATAAGAGTTCACTTAAATATTGCAACAACCCTATGAGAGATATGCTACTATCATCATTATCATCATCTCTGTTTTACAGAGAGGAGATTACAGAGCAAGTGAGTTAGACAACTTGCCCTGGGTCAGTAGCTGCTGTGTGGGGGAAGCCAGGGATTGAACCCCAGCAGTCTGGATGCAGAGTCTGTGCCCTTTACTACCTGCTAGCATTAGCAGGAGGGGCTACGTTACTAGGGCCCTGTCTCCTGTGCTCCTAGCGATCACTGCCTGTCACCACCACTAGGACAGGATCCTACGATTCTTAGGTAAAATTTGGAAAGCCTTCCTCACCCCCAGGTCTGGAAAGACTTGAAGTTCTGGTCACTGAGAGGGGAATTGGAGTCCAATTTTTCACTGTGTTCCCTGGACTAACTGGGACCATGTGTGACAGCCATAAAAAATGGAGACCCATCCACTAGCATGGAGGAGAGCATAGGGAAAGGCATGGAGAGAGGTCAACCAGAAATGAGCTACATACTCCAGGCAGGGAGAGGTCTTGTAGAGTGATCACACAGTGACAAATCAGGGCTGGAGCATCCTAGAGCCCCTCTCCAGGAGGGATTTGGGCAGGAGATCCCAGCTGAACAAACATGCTGAGCTGCTCATGAGTCCCACAGAGGTCGGCCTTTTGGTGGGACTGCATCGTCCTGGGGGGCTGGGCATATTCAGGAGCTGGCAGGGATTTTTTACCACAAGCAATGCATTCCTGCTTCTAATCTGCCCTCCAGCTGCTGAGGAATCCCCTCTGTGTACATCAGAGCAAAATGGAAGAGCAAAATGGAAGCACAATAAAGAAAGATGGGGAAGACAGAGCTCCAGCTTCATATTTCAAGTGCTCACTCCTGTAATAAACCAGCAATGCCTGGGACTAAGAATTCTAAATAAAACCCTATCACAAGACCCAAGTCTCCTCTCCCAGATACTCTGAAGCACCAGCGCCACAGCAAATCAGGATATAAGGCTTCCAGAAGGTTCTGTTCTTACTCAGCCACACATTTTAGCTAGACAACTCATGAACAGCTCATTTCTCTAGGCTGAGTCTCACTCCTTTCTCTTCTGAAATGGGAGCAAAATCTCTACCACATGAGGTGGTGAGAATCAAGTGAAATAACACATACGGATGCCCCACACAGTGCCCACCACATGGTAGGCACTCAATGGAAATGAATTAATATTGCCAGTAAGGACTCACAAAGGAAAAAGCTAAAGAGAACACCTCCAAAGCCAACTGTGAATGAACGGGGGATCAGCCAGCAGAAGGAGAGGGGAGAAGGGGGCCCACTCTCAAGTTTCCAAATCCTTGAAAGAAAACAGGAGCATGGAGGGAACCATCACTGCAGGAGCAACAAAACAAGAAAACTCGCACCAGACAACGCACTCAGCATACGCGCTAAATGGTTTCCAATTAATTAACTGATTACATGATAGAACAGAAGGGGATTCGAAAGAGCGCTGTTGACCTTTAAGAATAATTAATATCATCAGGATAGCAAACTCATCCAAGGAAAATAATGAGGAACATTTTGCTTTGGATGGGGAGGCAGATGGGCTTTATCTATGCAACGCCCCAGCTTCCTCCTCTTTCTCCAGCTTCCTGTCTCTTTTTTCCAGTACCTCCCACCCAGCCTTTCCCTCCTCATTCTCAGACTTCCAGGAGGATCAGGGAGACCTCTAGACCTTCTAGGTCTGTACATGAGCAGTTGCTGCCTTGGTCCAGCACTGTGGCCACTCTGTTTGCCCAGGTAACATTAGCTGCAAAAGAGTGAGAGGCACCCCATACACTTGGTATAAGAAGGGCACACAAAACCTTCTCTTCCCAGTCCACCTGAGTATCTGGATGTCTCTCTCCCTACCTCCTATCTCTCCCTAGGGGCCAATGTCAGCACCTAGAAATGACACCACTCCATGTCGGGTAGGTGCCCCTCCTCCAGGCTCCCAACTCATACAGAAATTCCCCCAACACAGCCCCAATGGACTATATAATATCTGGTAGCAAGCAATTCATATTATCTATGAGGTCAACGGCTCATTTGTCTTAGTCACAACAATATTTCCCAGCATCCAGCAACCTGGTGTTGTTGAGCTGATCTATAATGAGCCCTGTGCCCTGGGCAGTTGTCCTTGACATTCAGTCTTCTCCCAGAATGCCTGGCAAATTCTTAATCATCTTCCATGACTTACTGATATATCCCTCCTCTGAGAAGCCTTCCCTGACCACCACCTCCAGACCACTGGTTTTCCCCACTCACATGCTCCCAGAGCATTTCATCCATCCATCAAGCTCAGCAATGTCAAATCATGTATCTCTCAAAAGTCTAGCTGCCTCTTGAATGGAGGGAATCCTGGAGTAAAACGACAGCTTTTCCCTCTAGTTGTCTTCTTGATGCCTAGCAAGATACCTAGTACAGAGTAGGTGCTTAGTAGATGTTTATTGAATGAGCCCAAGCATAAATGGAGGTAATGTGGCCAGAAGGAGGCAGGACCTTCATTCTTTTTGAGATAGTTCCAAGGATACAAGACTAATTCATTGTATTAATTACTAGTGACAGGTGACCACACATTCTGGTCTGCCCAAACAGTCCCAGCTCACATCTATTATCCTGGAATTTCATCAGGTCAGTTTCCCTTCCATTCTCCAAAGTGTCCCACTTTGGACAATGTGTTATTTACTGAGATCCTACTATATGCCGTGCATCTAGGTGTCACTTTACAGCAGTGAACAAAAGAGAGGAGCAAATGCTATAAACAGAGTCAGCTTTAGCATCATTTTGTTTTCTCTATCTTAAAAGTCATCTCTGCTCATGCAATCATTCAACACTAATTAGGTACCTATACTGTGCTGGGAAATGTGGGTGTACTGGGTGTATGGGGTGAACAAGGCAGCTCCCCATAGAAATTTGTTCATTTACTCCATTTCCAGAGGAATCCAGGGAAGAACTCTTGTCCAAAAAGGATTACTTCTGGCTTAGAATTTGAATTTTCCCCACGGTCTTGGCCCCTTGCTGGACCCACACGGTGGTGGGCTGCAGCCGGGCTGGCCACAGCCTTACCCATGCCACCTGGTCCAAGACAGGCACTCTTGCCCCAGATGTCTTGGTTTACTTCTCATTCCTACAAAGGATAAGTCAAAGAGTATTTGCAAGAAAGGCCAGCTGCAGATACAAGTGACACTGGAGAACAATCTTCAGAATGCTGTGACTCCAGGGAGATCCAGTTAACCCCTGATTTTACTCCTTATTCTCCAGGATCTCATCTGTCTTCATCAGAACTCTTCCATTCATCTTATTCTGTGTCTGCAGAGTACATCTGACAGCTATCTTTACTGCCAAAGCCCATGTTGTTTTGTTCCCACTAAGATTACCCCCATTGTCCCTCTCTCCTCCTTAGTTTCATAAGTACTGGCCTCATTTCTTACCTTCCTTGACTGCCAGCAATACCCATGTCCTCTCTTCTGAGCTGCCCTCTCTCCCCACCCTGCCCCCATCTCTGTCTTACTTCCAGTGTCAGCTAAAAACATCTCTTTTCTCCTTTTAATTACACTTCTCTGCCCCCTCTCTGTTACTGGCCTTATGATTCAGGGCTTTAATTTATTCACCAACAGTGTCATTACACCACCATTTTCTGTAATTTATACCATGCAGTCTTTTGGCCTCTCTTGTCCAATTCTGCAAAATGTTTGGGAAATGCAGTGTTCATGCCTACACCCCATGGCCTCTCTCCTGAAGAGATCTGGTAGTGTTCACATAGACTCACTCAAGGAAGAGACAAGATAAGAATTCTTACCTCATATTGAGTATATGGACCCTAGAGTCAACCCCCATCCCACTTGGTTCCATGTAGATTCTCAAGGAGCTGAGGATTGAATATGAACTGAGTTGAGGAGGCCATAGAGACAATGCAATCTGCATTGAGACTTAGAGAAACAAGCGGGAACAGAACAGAGTAAAAGGGCATGTGGATGCATGGGCCTGGCCAAAGGCTGGCACTCTCAGGAATAATCACTAACATTAGGACTTGTGAACTGTGTTTCTGCTTGTAGTTCTTTGTGCAAAGTGGAAGGAATGATTTACACCTTGATCACAATCATTGTTAAATAAAAGCATGCAGGTAAATTTCACTGAATGGCTCAATTTTCCTAAGTCTTGCATTGAACAGGGTGCCAAACTCAACTCATTATTTCTTAGACCTGCACTACTGCTATGGCTGACCTCAACTTAATTTAAAATCTTGAGATCTGAACATAAGTGCAAATAATTAATTAACTTGCTAATCATTTTTCCTTGCTATAAGGACTTTTCCATAGTCATTACCAATAATCATGAGAGTAAACTAAAGAAAATTGGGATACAGAAATCATTTCCTGAGAAATCAAAATAATAAGTAACGTTTACTCTGTGTTTGTTAGGAGCTAATCACTATACGCTTTAAAGATATTTGTCCACTGAATCTTCCCAACAACATTTTATGGTCTGTATTATTATAATGATTTGCTCTCATTGACAGATAAGCAATTCAATAATCCATGGCTCAGAGGTGAGATAGCTAGTTCAAGGTCACGAAGCTGGTAGTGTTATCACAGGGCCTGAGTCCACGTGTCTAATTCCAAAATCCACACCCTTGTCATGACACTTGGCATGTGTTCACCTGAGTGTGTGTGTGTGTGTGTATGTGCACATGCGCATGAGCAAGAAGTTGTCTTGATCTCCAGCTGGGGACTTGGTTCTATACTATGCAGGTGAAAACCTTCTAAGAATGAAAAAATCACATCATCCTAGGGGACAAACCCACCCACATCATAACTCAGCCAGCTCTGCTGTGCTTTTCTCACCATTTGGCCCACTTTATCTATTCCTGTGAGAAAGCACATGACAAATCTACTTGCTCCAGGCCCCATTCAACAGTAACAGAACAGACCTGACCCTGGGAGCTCTGGTCTGGAAGAAAGAATCCTGTTCCTGCTCAGGATCCTTTGGAATCCTACAGCCCTAGATAATTCCTCAATGCAGGGTAATCAAAGTCATAAATCACAATCCTCGTCCACTCTAGACTGGGCCTCTGGAAGGCAGAAGTGGAAGGGGCACTCCCTCTACTGTTTACATCTGGGTCTAGATCCCAGCAGGAGGGCTGGCAAACAGAGCGCAGGCCACCTGTCCACCACATGCACCTAACTCTTTGCTTGTGCCAAGGCAGTGGCATTCGCTTAAGGACATAGGTCAGCCCACTAGCAGCTGTGGCAATGCTAGGGGAAGGTGAGCCGGGGACTAGGGCCTGGGCGCTTCTCTCTGGGGAGCTGTTCATAGTTCACTGCCCAGGAGGAAAGGGAGGGCTCCCTGGGCTCTGGCCATGGTGCTGAACCCCCAGGGACGGAACCATGGAGGCTGGGAGTTGAGTAAGCAAAAATGGTAGTATCAGTTTCCCTCCCAAGAAGAAACAATTTTTAAATATTCATTTGGGAACGTTGGACTCCTGACCACCCTCAGAGAGGTGACCTGGTCTTTATATCAGTTACAACAGAAAGAACATGAGCTCTGGACCAGACATTTATAGATATGAATAAATCTCTTCAGTAGCTGTGTGACCTTGAGCACGTTACATAACCTCTCTGAGCCCCAGAGTCCTCATGTATAAAACAAGAAGATGGATTACTGTTGGAAGAACACCTAACACAGAGCTTAACACAATAAATATTTCGTCTCTTTTTCTCTTCACTTTGTTTCCTGCTTGCTTGTATGTGCACACATGTACATTCCATGAATTTTCTCCCCTCTTCCTATATAATACTGCAAAAATTCCTCCAAGGACAAACTTAAGACCCATGTCCTTCCTGAATCCTGTGGCCAGCATTTCCAAAGCACCTGTTACCTGCATTGAACAAGGCCCTTTATGGTATTATCCATATAATCACCTAATAGAGATTTTGAACCTAACCATCTTTCAGTGTTTCCAAACTACTTTCAAGTTAGTTTCTGGCAAAGACCCAACTACCATCATATCACATATCATATCACAAGTAAAGCCAGTGCTGCTGTGCATTTTCCATGTCACAGGAAAGGAAACTAAAAGAGACAGTAAGGTGGTGACTGACTGATTCACACTAAGTCTTGAAGCAGCATCACGACTCTGAGGTCCAGAAACCAGATGAGTCTCCTCCCAGGTGTTGGCAGCAGCATAGGAAACAGCCCAGTATAGCAAAAAAAGAGCTAGAACTTGAAAAAGTCTGAGACCTGGGTCCCGGCTCCTACTCTACTACTTCTAGCTGTGTGGTCTTGGACAATGCATTCTCTCAGATTCCTCACTAGTAAAACAGGGATGATGGTAATTGCTAGCTACTTCATCTTATTATAGCATATTAAATAAGATGGTATTTTGAGATGTGGTATGTAAAGCACTATAGCCACAATGGTTAAGATAGCATATTGCTCAGAGAACTGGTCATTAGTCGTGAGGGGAGGCATGTCAGTGGACCCTCAGAACAACACATCACATGGTATTACTGACCACCCCGACTCCATGTCCTCCTGCCAGGCCCCAAGCAGATGCATCCATTTCACTTCACAGACGCTTTGGGAGACCTAATACGTACCTGCAGGCTCTGGGCACATCAATAAATGTTTGAGTCCAGAAAAATGAAAGTAAGAAACTCCATAAAATTCTGATATGAGGTATGATCTAGAGCTATAGTAACTGAAAGGCCTAATATTTGTAAGAAACTTGCTGTGTGCCAAAACTTCAAATGCATTATGTCATCCAAGTCTTAAAACAAGCTTATGAGGGAGATGATTTTCTTACCAGAGGGAAGAGTCAGCTCAAAAAGATTAGATGACTTGACCAAGATCTCGCAGCTGGTCAGCAAACAAGGTAGGAACAGAGCCCAGTTCTGACTGATACAAAACTTGTGTCTTCAATCATAATATTATGCAACTTCTCATGGATTAACCAAAATAAGGGAGGTGGGGGCAGGACAAGAATATTCTAGCACAACCCCATGACTGTGAAATCACTTAATAAATGCCACTAGTGATATGTGAAAAGTCCAACAGGGACTAGTCACTGCTAAGGGGTCTTCCTAGTCACTGCTAGGGGGTCTTCCAGAGATTTCTGAGGGCCAAGCAGAGGTCTGCACCAATGAGGGAGCCGGGGGAGAAGAAGAGTGGAGATGGGTGGGAAGGGAAGGGAGGAGTACAAAGAAAGAAAGCTGCTGGGGATCAGGGCTGGGAAAGGCAATTATTAATATTCTAAGTGGAGTTTGACTGCTTAAGCTTTATTTAAGGCCATGTCTGACTGTATAATTACAAGAGCTTAATTTGTTTTCTTTTCCACACAATAAATAAGGAGCACACGGTTGCTCTTTGCAAACACCACCCTTGCTGGCATCAGCGAAGGTTTCTGAGCTGCAAATGGACAGCTGGCACAGGGAGGGGAGCCCCACTGCCTCCTGCAGGGAGTGAGCTGCCCACCTCAGGGACACAGCTGGACTTGCCAGATGTAGTAAGGACAAAAGAACCAAGGTGCCCTTTTACTCCTGGGGGAAGACTTGGGGGTCATCTCCCTTAATTCCTCTATGAAGCAGGTACCTGCTCCTGAGAGGCACCAGCACAGTATGGACTCAGTTTCGACAAGCATCAGGAGAGGCTGTTGTCACTCAAAGGCAGCAGCCTACTTTCTATTGTCATGTAGTTCAGGCCAACTCACTGGATGTCTTTGGCCTATGGATCTGTGCACATGACACTTGTGCTGAAACCTGAAAGAGGAATAGACATTAACTAAAGCGAGTCAGAGGCTGCATGAAAATATTCCAAGTCGAGGGAACGGCACAGGCAAAGGCCATGAGCTAGAGGTGGCATGGCACATGGGGGTATCGAGGGAAGCGCAATGTGGCTTGAGCGGAGAGCCCTGGAGGACATGCAGGGAGATGCTGGAACTGGTCTTGAGGCTGGTCCCACACCATACCACGCTGCCTCACCTAGGTTTCTGCATGGGCCTCACACTCACCCAGCAGACTAAGGCAGGGAGTTTGGTTCATATCCTAAGAACATCAGAGGCACATTTAAGAGGATGAGATTTCAATGTTTAATCAGCCTCCTTGCAGAGTGCATGGAACACATGTAGAATGGTTCAGAGTATGGCAGGTAGTTCAAGGGAGACCTCTTAGGATTCTGTGATCCTTAGGACACTTGTATGTAACAGAGGTTAGGGCCCTTGTGGAGGAAGCACCAAGATGCCCCTCTGGAAGGAGCCACAGAGGCATCAGATACCTGTAGTTGGCAGCAAATGAGGCACACAGGGAGGGGATCTTGTCTTTCTGCAGCCCTGATCCCCTCTTCTGCTCTAATATGAATCACTCTGCTGCCTCAGTGAGAGAGATCTCAGGTCACAGGGCCATACTGGGAGACAGGGTACCTGGAATCAAAGATTCCAACCCTTTAGTACACTGACTTTGGGGCCACAGGGAAGCATGGTGGGGAGTCACCTTGTCAGTCTGGTTCCAGGTCTAGTGGGTCCCACAGGCCTAGGCCCTGCAAATATACCAGGCTTTCTCTCTCACTGCCAGGCATCTGGACATGCAGCACATGGTTCCCTTTACCTGGCACAATCATCACCCATGTCCCCAGAAAGCCTCTTTCAGCTGCTGACTTGCACCCATCCTTAGGTTTCAGGTGGCCTGGAAGCCTTCCTTGCTAGAATCCTCCCTATCCCCAAAGATGCATCCCCCACCTGTGCTAAATGCTCCCAGGGAGCCCCAAGTCCTCATCACACTGTATAGTAAGCATCTCTACACGCTGTCTCCCTCTTCCACCCCTAGACTATCCCACTGAAGCCAAAGACCTAAACTTAATTCACCTTTGCACGAATTAAGAGAATTTGCATGAATTCTCCTGAGGCAGAGAAGGCCCTCAACAGATGTTCCTGGAGGGTATTAATGTATTAATGTCTCAGAAAAGCCCCACAGGACCCCAAGGGCCATTGTGAGTGGACTTTGTAGGACTCTAAAGCACAAAAAATCAATGATTACATGCCAGCTTCAAGGGCAGGGGGAATGCTTGTTTCAGGCAATGAGGTTGACATAATTTGCATCAGCAACATTTTTCACAAGATCTTCATAACTTGATCTTCAAACTGAGACCAGGTTGCATTTTTTTCCTGGTCTCTATTTTTAGTAAAACCCAAGAGGATAAAGTCCTTTCATCAAGTTTTCCTGCAGTCCAGTGCTTTGGTGAGGTTCCCTCACTACATCCCACAGCACCCTGTTGGGTACTCAGGTTCTATGTTTGTCAAAGTCCTTTCTCAACATTGTTCACTCTGTCCTCACAATAACCCTGTAGGGGGATGTACAGGCAACAGTTTTGTACCCATTTTATAGATGAGGAACAGAGAAAGAAGGAAGTCACCTGTGCACCATCTAAAGAGAACAGGTCTGCACTCTTTCTATGTTCCATAACAACATGTTGACCACGACCAGGGCAGCAGAAGAACCAGACCGCCACACCCTCAGGACGTAGGCTATGGATCAGGGTCCCAACAGGCCCACTGTAGGGTCCCTGAGGATTCCCTGGCCCTCATCACTCTGGAAAGTCAGTTCTAAAATGAACTGAACGACTCCCCTAAGCCCAACCCCAGGCAACTCTGATGATCAGCAAAGCCTCAGCTCTAGCAAGACAGATGCAGTCCCATCTAGCCAGGTCACCCTATCACAGAGACAGACAGGTAGCCCTCAGTGGTGCCTTCCACCCCAGGCCCTCTAGAGAATTCAACCCCTCTGTGTGTATAAACCAGCCCTCCAGATGCAAATGGGATGGGAGTTATCCTGGGTGGAGACTTCACAATCACGGAAAAAGCCAAAGGCAACCACATTAAAGAAATGCAGTTGTAAAACCTGAGGTGGACAGTTGACCAGATCCAAAGAGAAACAGCTGTCGGAGGAAGGGAGAGGGACTCAGGGCTGAAGTGGGCTGCAATGGAGGCTTAAGAACCAGCAAGCCATGCTCTAAATCCAGCTCTTAAATCTCCCCACAGGACTGGCTCCAGGTCACCACACCCCTTTTTTCTATCTCAATTTCCTCGTTGAGAATAACAGTAATACACTGACAAAGCTCCCTCTTGGTAATGGCAATACACTGATGAGCTGGCAAGGGTGCATGTGTGTTGAGGCTGCCATAGAAGACATGGAGGGTCTCTGCTGGGGGGCTCCAGCCAGATCCCCACCCCGGCTCTGTAACTCCCTTTCCCCTTTAGCTTCTGCTCTCCCCACATACAGGGGGCAGAATCCCAAAGACGCCTCAAACCCAGGGGCTTCGAGCTTGGGCTTCTGAGCACCCTTAATAAGGATCAAGGTTCTAAAATAGCTTCCAAGGTGTGGGACATGCCATTTACTGAGTACCTACCATGTGCAGCCACTGAGAAAGGTGCTTTATGTTCACTCCTTTAATCCTCACCCAAAGCCCTGCAGGGTAGGAATTATTTCCTTGTGTCCTAGGAAGGACACAGAAGCTCAGCTCCTTGGCCAAGAATGCAAAGTGAAAGAGTTGGCAAAGTCAAACTTGGGTTCACAGCCTAGTCTGCCCACCTTCAAAGTGTGTGGTGTTTTCCCTTCTTCTTTCTCCCCCTCCCTCAGTCATTCGTTCAGTCAGCCATTTGTTCTCCAAATACAAATTTTACATTGAGAAAACAGGATTTAGGGAGACTAGTCTTTGCCCCCATGGGGCGTACACATCATTGAGAGGGTCATACCTTTCCACAGGCATATTTCAGGCCTCGCCTGGACCCCTCAGATGGGTTTCAAGGTGCATCTTGGGAGACCCTGTCTGCAGTTTGCATGAAGTCGGCCAGAGGCAGTGCATGACTTACTCCATCTGGGAGACCCAGTACCCTTTAAACCCAGAACAATCGCAGTGGCTGCATCACCTAGAATACCACCCAGAAAGGGCAGAGGCCTCTTGGACCCAAGGCAAGCCCCAACAGGCAAAGGGGTTAACCCAGCAAGAAAAGAGACTTTCAAAGACCCATTAAGAGGAAACAAGGGAGAAAGAGACACAAACCTGTTAGCCTGCTAAGGAATGAAGAGGAACAGAAATTAATGATGACTCCAAAATAGCCAAGAGACTAAACTCATTTTCTAAATCTGTCTTTAACAAGAAAAATGGAGAAAAGAGATGTGAACAAATGGGAGGTAATGAAGCCTTAGGGAAGAGGGGGAAAAAAGAGAAGAAAATCTACTGAGAATAATCAAGGATGGAAAACATGAGCACAGTGTCTAATCCCCAAGACTAGGAGATGCACAGCCCAGAGGCCAGAATGTTTACTCAGCATTACACTGAGTTTTTGAAAGGCAACAGCTGACAGGGTTATAAGAAAATTCTTAAGGTTCAGTCCAGGGGATTCTAGAGAACTGAGATACCTGAAATCAGAAAGAACAGTCTCCAAGAAGAGGTTAGGGTTTTCGACTAAGAATTTCAAAGTACATATCACAAACATGCAGTGGGCCAGCAGGTGAGGCACGTGGCCATGTTATCTGGCCCTGGGTGAATCAGAATGTGGTCCACAAACAAAGTGAACAGAAAGAAATGATCGGGGGTTGGGGGGCATGAGTAATCTCAGGACCACAGGGCGTCTGGAGGACAGACACAAGCAGACAAGAAAAAGGAAATTCAATTTGGGAAGTTTGCCACCTGCCTCACAAGGGTACCAGGAGCAGTACCTTTACAGGGCCTCAGAAGAGGCAGGCACCCAGGAGACTAATGGTATGAGGGGACTGGGAATTTACTTTCTTTGGAGGCAGCAGATATGAGAGTAGAAACTAAGAAATATCCATTGAAAATCTGAAGCTTGGTGAATTCTGCGGTGCAAAACACATTTGGGGTTCAATAACACATTTGGAGTTCAATAAAAGCAGGAAGGATCCATTTAAAAGAGGACAATAAAGGCGCCACTCAGTGTTATCATGTGCCATAGGGGCTGGGATATGGAAAGAATGCGGGGACCCAGGCACACCTACAGAAATAGCATGGCTGGATTGTACTAGGAGGTGTCAGATGTTGAAGTTGCGCACATAGGCACAAAATTTTGGGATGTTAGAGCAGACAGAGCCTTGGAGCTTATCTACTCTGGCCCATATCCCCTTCTTTCCCATTCTATAACAGGGTGTGCCACCTACAGTCATAATCCTGCCCGAAATGGGCCAAAGACATCCAGGGCTGGTGTAGCCCCATGCTCCCTGGAAATGGGGAAAATAGAAATCTGCCACTCCTGCATCGACATATCACAGCATGATTCATCTCCACCTGCTCGATCATCAGGCTCCATTCTCTATGCTAAATACCCACTCTGTGTAATCATCTGTTAATGGCCCTCCCCAGTGCCAGCCAGTAGGCTAAGGGGCATTGCCCATTCACCCAGACCCTGCTAGCAACCAGGTGCAAAGCAGGACATGGTTTCAGGCACTCCCTTCGTGGTCTCCCATGGGCCTTCCCCTCCATCTGCCCTTCATTTTGAGGAGTGCTGCTCTGAAGCCTACTGCCTCCCTCTCTTCTCCAGCTGGGTTCCTGAATTGAAAACAGCCAAGGCTGACCAGAGTTGGCCTTGGCCAAGAGATGGTAGAGTGGAGGCTCTGGAGCTCTAGAGGCAAGCAACCTGGAGTTGGTTTCTGGCTCTGCCACTTAGCAGTTATGAAACCTTAGGCAAGTCACTCAACCTCTCTGTGCCTCAAATTCCCCATCTGTAAAATGGGGACAACAATGATGTCCACTTGCTATTATGAGCATGAAATGACATATAAAGTGCATAGAGGAATGCTTGGTCTATAGTCAGTGCTTCACTGATATTATGTCCCTGGAACTCACTGCATTGGAATGCCTGCCCCTCCAGGGAGGTGAGATGGGGGAGTAGAATAAAGTGGGTAAAACTAAAACAAATAGACAACAGATTTCCTCTGGTCCTGCCCCTCAGTGGCCCCAGCTGTGTCTCAGATGCAACCTTTCTTCCAGGAAGAATTTCCCAAAATGCTATGAGGTCAGGATTGGGCCACTTATAACACTGTCTCATGTTTGAGATGTGAAAACAGACCAAATGGGTTAAATAGCTTATCCAACGTCACAGCATAAGGCCAAGAAAGAGCCAAAGGGATGTGCAAGATGTGGCCACCTATCCCTGCTGCAGCCAAAAAATACCTCTAATGATTGACAGCCATCCCCACCAGCCCCTCCCATATACTCATATGGACCCAAAGCCCAGCATCTTCCCTCCTGGCCTCCACCCAGACACACCACTGCATATAGTCCTGACTCAAGCCTCCCACATCATTCACTCTGTGAAAATCCTATTCCGTGGACAAATGGCTCCATTTCCAAATGCTGTTCCCTTGGCAATTTTTTCAGTATACCTGATAAACAGGCTCAGTGGCCTGTACCCATCAGCACATGTCCAAACAGCTCTAGCAGAAAGTCCAGGGGGAAACAGCTGTGCACACCCCATGGTAAGCTGCAGCCCTGTGCCATAAGCAGGCTGTCTGCCAACCCAAGCCCACTCTCCTCCAAAGCCAGGCCAGCTGTCACCTGCTCCATAAGGCTGCCCAGCCATTCCCGCCCATCTCGGGTCAGCAGCCCTGCTCAGAGCCCTCCAGCGGCACCTCCACTGCCTTGTGCTGGAAGTCCCTGGAGAATGTCAGCCGTTTCTGCAATCTGTCAAAGGTGTGAGCTGTGTCACCAACAACCCATAGCCACTGATGAAGAACCACCACTCACCATTTACTTCCTTATACTTAAATTAGAGGAGGTTCAAAACTTTCCCTGTAATAACATCTCTCTCATTTGTGTTCTGAGACCCTGTCTTGAGTAGGACAGAAAAGAATTGGGTAATAGATTAGACACCAAGTTTCATGCACCCCCAGTAGCCTATCTACTGCATACACTGATTACAGCCTCTGTCATTCCTGGTTTATCTTTTCTTTCTTTTTCTTAGCCACAGTAAAAGTGTATTTCTCTCTCCCACTACATGTCAACAGAGGTCAGCTGTGGCTTTGCTCCCATCATCTTCCCAACAAGACGCCAGCTAATGGAGCAGCCTCCATCTGGAACAGTAACATCCTTTGCCCCACGGCAGAGGAAAAGAGACATAGTAGGCCCCACACAGGCTCTGAAAGCATCTTCTAAGAAGGAACACAGGATAGACACAGAGAGATAGAGAGAGAGAGAGAGAGACATAAAGAGATAGAGCAATAGATATACACAATTCACTTAAAATGTACAATTCAAAAGTTTTTCATATATTCACAGAGTTGTGAATCAATTTTAGAATACTGACGATCAATTTTAGAATATTTTCATCATGATAATGATCAATTTTAGAATCAAATTGATCCATTTTAGAATATCAATTTTAGATGATATTGATATTGATCATCTGCTATATGTACTATTTATATTTGTACGTTCCAATTTTCTAAAGAATAATAACAGCAATCTCCACTAACATATATTGGGTCATTGTTATGGGCCAGACATTCTCCTCAATTCTTCATATACATTAATTCATTTAATCTTGCTAACAACCATATTATTCCCATTTTCCAAATGAGGAGATTAAGGCATAGATATGTTAAGTAACTTGCCCAAGATATACAGATATATGTGATAAAGCCAGAATCGAATGTCAGGCCATGTGGTTCAAGAGCACATATTCTCAACTACTTATCGAAATAACCAAATTAGTGATGAGGGTGGGTTAGAGGCAATAGCTTAAGCAGGATGTTTGATGGAAGCTCTGAGCAAGAAGAACTGAATGAGAAGAAATCTCAAAGAGGCGACCTACCTTCACTGTACATTTTTGTATCACACCTCAGCAGGGTGATACTGCGATATGATTCTGTACTATTTATATTTGTACGTTCCAATAATATAAGTGATATGCATGTAATATTTGCCTATATGCCCCTTCTTTTTTTTTTTTTTTTTTTGAGACAGAGTCTCACTCTGTCACCAGGCTGGAGCCCAGTGGCATGATTTCAGCTCACTGCAACCTCCGCCTCCCAGGTTCAAGTGATTCTCCTGCCTCAACCTCCTGAGTAGTTGGGACTACAGGCAAGCGCCACCATGCCCAGCTAATTTTTGTATTTTTAGTAGAGACGGGGTTTCACCATGTTGGTCAGAATGGTCTCGATCTCTTGACCTCATCATCCACCTGTCTCGGCCTCCCAAAGTGCTAGAAGTATAGGCGTGAGCCACTGTGCCCGGCCCATATGTCCCTTCTTTTAAACAGGGCTGCAATAGTTTCTACCATACATAGAAGTGTGAGGATCCCTGGCTAGGTAAGACCCAAAGAAAGTAGACAGGATAAATATGATGGGAGGAATGTCACACAGAGCGTACCAAGGCCCACATTCTAGTCCTGGCTCAGCTCTTACCCATGGAGATCTTGGTCAGAATTCTTCCACTCAAGATATCCTTCTTGTCATCCAGAAAATGATCAAGTCAGACTAGAGTCACTTGTACATGCAACAAATCACTACCAATCACTTGGCATATAACAGGCATTGTTCTGAGTGCTGGAGATATAGCAGGGAAAATTTCTGCTCCACGGAAGTTTACATTCCAGTGCGGGAGATAGAGTATCAACTCTTAAATAGCTGAATGAGATACTTGCAGATGATCAATAGTAATAAAGGCGAAGGAAATTATTCAGCCACATGACGGAATAAAATGTGATCTATTTGTAAGGAGAAGGAAGGCCACAAAGTTTGAGTAGTCAAGGGAGGCCTTGCTAAGAAAGTAGCATTTGGGTGAATGATGAGAAGGGGCCAGCCATGCCAAGATCCAGGGCAGGGTATCTGTTTGGGTCAGATGGGCCAACAGGGACAAAAACTCCAATGTGGGAATGAGCTTGGCACATTTAAGGGACTGAAAAGGCTTGTAAGGCTGCGGCAGAGAGAACAAGGGGAAAAGTACAAGACAATTAGAGAGGGAGACAGAAACTATATCCATGTGAGTCCTGTGGCCATGGAAAGGGGCTTAGCTTTTATTGTAAGTAACGCAAGAAGTAATTGGAGGGCTTTAAGCAGCTAAGTGGCATGATCGGATTTATATGTTTAAAATATCACTCTGGCAGCTGTGTGGACAATGAAATGTAGCAGACAAAAGTGAAGGTGTGGAAAACCTAAGTTAGAAGGCTACTGTCACAGTGTCAGAGGAGGGGATGATGACTTGGACCAAGACAATAGATATGAGGATGGAAAGGGTAAACAAGCAGATGGATACAAAATATTTTATGAATTTATTAAACTGAATGTCAGAAGAAGGGAGTAGGCAGGTAAAGGAAAGAGAGGCATCAAGAATGTCTCCCAAGGTTTTGGCCTGAGCAATTTGATGGATGGTACCACTTACAAGAACAAGAAGCATTGAGGAAGAAGAGGTTAGGAGGAAGGGCTTGGTATGAAATCAAGAATCCTGTCTTGGCCAGCTTAAGGTTGACTCATGACTGGGGCATGCAAGTAGGCAGTTTGATATAGGAAACTAAAGGGCACGATAGGAATACAAATTTGGGAGTTGGTTCTAAGGACTCTTCCAGCTTTAACTATCTATGATTCTAAACAATTGGAGACCAACATGTGTTGGGAGGAAATCTTTAATAGCAAAAACATATATATTGAGTCTTTCATAGTACATTGTCTTAAGCACTTTCCAGACGTTGTCTTATTTAAGGCTAAGACCAATCCTATGAAGTAGGAACTCTTATTTTCCTTTCAAAGCTCAGAGAAGTTCAATAATTTGCCTAAGGTCAACAGCAGGAAGTGAAAGATCTAGGATTTGAACCCTGATCTTTCTATCTTCAAAGCCCATGCTCCTTACTGTCAGCTATCCAGCATTTCATGGCTAAGTCCTCCACAAAGAACAGAAGAAGGAGGATACTTGTGGAGAAGCAGTGAGGGAGACCAGTGTGCCAGTTGCCAATCCTTTTGGGACTTGGAGAAAAGTCTCAGTGCAGAGGTAAGGGGGAAGGCAGAAAAGCAAAAATTTACTGAGATACTGTCTACATGTCATCTTGAAACTCAGAATCTGGGGTTATTCCAAGGAGAAAGAACATTGAGTAATT
Organism: Homo sapiens; assembly: GCF_000001405.40. Taxonomy (NCBI): domain Eukaryota; kingdom Metazoa; phylum Chordata; class Mammalia; order Primates; family Hominidae; genus Homo; species Homo sapiens. Next base: position 88,178,288 of record NC_000015.10, read on the forward strand.
TATAATACATAATAAATCCATGTCACCATTTTTTCACCTCAATAATCTCAAGAGAAATTTATTACCTATGCAGTCAGTGTCCTGAAAGGGTAGGGATCCTAGCCACCTCTTCTTTTCCTATCCGCACAGCATCACTGACTTCCTCTCTTTGCAAACATAACACAGTTGATACAATCATGCTCAAATCAGGACATTCTCCATCTTTTACCCCACTCTGATGGCTGACTCTCCCAGCTAAAGATTGAGTGCACGTTTGCTTCCAAAAGGAGAAATAACTTAGTCCGGCATCCAGAGCTTTTTGGAAAAGAGCAAGAAATGGAGCCCAAGAGAGATCCCACCACAATCAACTCTAGGGATTAAATAAATTCTCTTGGCTTGCTGGAATCTTACATTAAATATTCTTGGAAATAAGTAGGCCATAGGCTAATGCTAAGAAATCTTTCATAATAAAGATATTCAGGTTGTAATGTAACTGTCATTATAGGATTTGACCTGAATAGAAAGAGGAACTAAACAGAGCTTTCTCAACAGAGCTCTTTGAGGATGGAGCGTGCTGAATCCCCAGGGGGAAAGAGCAGCTCTTTCACGGAACTTTAAAGATGCCCACCTCTCCTATAAGAAGTTCTTGCTGTGAAAACCAGAGAGAAAAAACGCTCCTGGGACGTAAAAAAGTACACGGACTTCAGATTCAAAGGATTTAGAGTCCACATCCTGATTCTTCCACTAACTTACTGTATAACCTTAGGAGAACTCAGTTATAACTTCTGAGCTTCAATGTTTGCATCTATGAAATGGGAAGAGAGGACTCCTAACTTAGAGTTACTGTGGGGAGTAAGTGAGTTCATATTTGCAAATGCACCAGGCACAGTTCTTGGCACACAGGAAGTTCTCAACCAGATTAGCCTTTCCCTCTTCTTTTCTGATACCAGCAGTTTTATGTGGTTTTCTAAACATAGTAATGACTAGCAAAACATAGTAACTTTTTAAATTGCTTCTGTGAAAAAACATTGCCTCTTCTGGCCCATGAGCTATAGTGGAAAGATTCCTGGAAAGAGAATCAGAGGATTTAGGTACAGTTCTACTTCTGCTACTTAAAAGTCAGAGCCTCTCTGGGCCTATCTTCCGTGCTGTAAAACAAAGCCACCTACCATACCCCTGCCCCAAGGATGGTTATGAGAATTCAATGAGATAATGTATGGAAAAGCACTTTGAAAACCACGAAGAGCTCTACAGGTGAAAGGAAGTACCATTGTTTGAGTGCAGCTCAGACAGACGTCTACATTCTTCATGTATGGGGATCCCAGACTGTGGCGATCCAGTCTGTGTGAGCCATGCCAGAGAAAACACACCCCATAAAGGGAAAGAGGGGCCAGCTGCAGAAGCTGGGCTCAGAGGACTCTGAGAACAACCCAAGTTCAATAATGCTGGTGGAGGAGATCTCAACTCAGGTGGAAATAAAGAAAGTTGTCAGCTCATCAGTTTCAGTTCCTTAACTCCTTTCTGAAACTGACAGCATCTACAGAGAGGCCTACATACAGTCTAGAGCAAGGGGATAAAAGAGGAGAATAGAGAACTTATCCGAATTTATTCATCAGTGTACAATGAAGAAAGACGCTGGAGAATATGAGTATTCCAGTCACCAGAGAGGTGGGCTCCACTGTGAGACAGAAATTCAGCTTTTTCAGGACAAAGAAGTGGTCAGAATACCCATCAAGGTCACCTAACCCCTTCTCTTTGATTCTATCATCACCACCAGGAATAATAACAATAATTACTATCATTACTAGCAACTGTTCTCTCTGAACGCTCACTATTTCCTGGTCACTGGGCTGAGAGCTGTATGTGCCTCTTATCGTTTAATCTTGACCACATCCCATCCCTAGAATAGCCACTATTATTATGCCCACTTTTCAGATTGGCATACAGCTATTGCAATTATCAATCTCAGAAATCCTTATCCTTAAAAATCCTTAATCCAGAATTCTTAGGATCAGAGAAGGGATACAAGGGTGGAAAATATTCCCATCTCTCAAAAAAGGGTTTCCCTTGATATGTATTCATCCATATCTCATTTTCCGCAATCTACAAAAGGTAGAGAAAACTAAAGCAGTCAAGAGGAGATGGTCAGTCACTCATAAACCATGACGTAAGGCCCAAGAGTCCTAATCTCCAGCCTACTGTACAGCAGACAACTTGGCCAAAACTTTGTCAATTCATTTTCTGGCATGAGGAAGAATTACACTGATTAACGCAACAGTAGCTTAGGGGTGGGAGACAGTTCAACCAATCAGAACAACTTGACCAATCTGACATCAGTACTAGGGGCAATGATATCACTTCCTACTTCTTATTTTATACAGAGGAAAGAAGAAAAGACTTCTCAGCCATTACCCTAAAAAAAAAAAAAAAAAAAGCCACCAAGCCAGGGCTCGGCAATTAGTGTTGGAGTAAGTGATCATCTTGTGATTGCTCAGCTGGGGCCAGAAGACTTGTAAATGCATTTAGAGGACAGAAATAGAAGATGTTGTGAGACAGCAAAGAAACCTGGCCCATTTGCCAGGAGAAAATGTCCCAAAGCTGCCGGGAAATTTACTCAATTGGGAATTTGGTGTGTGTCTTCATAAATAAGAAAAGTTAATAAATAAAACCCGTGGATAAAGCCAGTGCTTCTGCCTCATCCTATTGACTCGTCTCTCTGCGACCCCCAGGCTCCTCTGGGCATCCCACTGTGCCTATGAGAGCCACTTGACTGGGTGCTGACTTTCTTGAACTAGGTTGAGCACCCTGACTTGCCCCTAATGCACAGACAGACTCAAATTGGGGGTAAACTAATGGTCATCCATCCTTCTCGGTAATCACCCTGTAGCCAATAACAAGTACTTTGGCAAGAGCTGGCCAATGTGTCCAGGAGAAAACAGGGCCCAAAGTCATGGGCAGGTTCAATGGTATCCTTGGGTCCTCCTCCAACTAGGTCCTCCTACCCACAAAGCCTTGGGAATCTTGCAAACCTCCACCAGCCTCTATCGCTGCCACCACTCAGCAGACCCCATATCATTCCAAAAGAGACAGTGGGTCACAGCCCTCTTCCAGGATCCTCAAGGGCAAGCCAAAGACATGCTCTGGTACAACCCACTTCAGAGCCACCTGCAGCCCAAGATGTAACCCTGCTCCCACTCCTGAGCCTGGGTCCTGAAGCCTCTCCATCTCCCTAAGAGCTGCAGGGACACCGTGCCCTAGAAGGTTCTGAGGCCTGAGCACCCAGCCCCTGTCCTCAAAGAGAACAGGGTTTGTCTCGCATCAACAGCATCCCTCCCCCAAATACGACCTCGCACCACAAGCTGGCACTCTGTGTGCCACATTCTGCTCATAGAAGTAGTTTCATTTGGCCCATGGAGTTGAAAGGTCTTGTTTTTAGTCGGCAGCATTTAAAACTTGAGTTGTTTCACGGAATCTCCAAGTCTTCTGGAAACAAGTCTGACCACACCAGGCCCCACCTCCACGTGGCATCACTCAGCTGGAACTGATGACTGGTTGCCTCTTTGGAGGGGACACGTGACCCCACCTGGTCCACCATGGGCATTTGGCTTTGTGACCCTTGTATGAATTACTATGAAAACGGAGACTTCTCAGATGTCAAAAGCTTTTTCCCTTAGGATGTTTTACAGTGAAACTCAAACCCCCAATAAAATAAACACCTGGAACATCTGGTCCAAGACCCTCCTCTGGTCCCAGCTATGCCTCCAGCTGCAAAGAACACACATCAGGAGACTCTCACCACAGAGGCTACCCTGGGGCAAGGGGCAACAGTTAATTAGGCAGCTGAAAGGGAGGTCTCAGTCCCCTGGGGCTGATACACCTGGCCCTGAACAGTGACCACAGAGCCTGTTCTTTCCAGAGAGAGAAAAGAAAGCTCCGCAGAAAGCAGAGGTGGCCATACTGATAAACAAATATTTATCAAGCACTCACTATGTGCTTGGGAAAACACAAAGAGCCTGGGGGTAAGGTCAGGATCCCCCAAAAAAGAAAAAACAACTCCTCCACCAGGATTCACTGTGATCTCTTCCCTTTCCCCACCTTCCCTACCCTCCACTTCCCACAGCTCCCCTGGATGTTCTGCCCCGGTGCATGCAATTTCTCTCCAGCCCAGCTGCCCTCCGTTACCAAATGCAAAGTGCTCAGTCAGTGAAACTTTTAAGTGGCCACAGGAAAGACTAGCCCATAGCACACCACTTCTCCACTTTCTCCCCAAAGGCAATAGACCCCTCCCCACCTGGTTCCTGCAGAGCCTCTGCTCTTTGGGAACATGCCCAAAGGGTGTCCGAGATGGCCACTATCCTTGGAGTTGACCCAGACAACAAATACCCCTCTACAGGTGCAGCAGGTTGGCACTTCCCCTAATCACTCACCCCAGGCTTCCTTTCATGCCCACTTTCTCCCCAGGAAATGGCAGTCCTCATTAAATCCCAAAGTTTATCAGCCCAGAACTCGGCTTAGAGAGGAAGCATCAACTCTTGTGATTCTATCCCCACTAGGGAAAGGGGAGAGACAGGATGAAGGAGGCACAGACAGGAACCCCCACCCATAACCACCTGACCTCTAGCTTGTCCCAAACAAAGCTGTGTGACATTACACAGGTGTTTCCACTTCTCTGAGCTTTTCCCCACTGAACCCAGATCTATTTAGACATAACACTGGCTATTAGCCATACTTTCTTTCTTCTTGCAACCCCCCCCCGCCCCCCGCCAGTCCTAACACACATACACACTCTTATGGGCCTACTTATGGTCTCAGAAGTATAGTATTCACATTACATATGAGTGGAATTCCCTATCATTTACGTTCCCATAAAATTGCAAGTTTCATCATGAAAGTGAACACACTTGGGTGTCAGGAGACTGACTCTCCCTCTCAGCCCCTGGTCCTAGATTTTTCCTTCTGACAGGAAACTTAGAGATCATCAAACCCAAAATAATCCTTTTAAGAGGCAAAATTGGAAGCCCAATAAAGTTCAAAACCTTGCCCAAGAGCCCCTGGAGGCAAAAAGCCAGGTCTAGACCTCAGGTCTCCGGTTTCACTGCCCCAAGAGTACCTGCCATGTGCCCCCAATCCCTGCAGCCCAGCTCTACTCACATATAACGCAAATGGGGGTTCTTGGCAAAGGCTCTGGGCTGAATGCTCCGAAGTCCTGAGTTCTTGATGGTCCTAGACAGAGAGAAAAAGAGGATCAGCAGAGCTCAAGTGGCAGAGGGATATCTGCTCTGGGCTGAGGCTGGCAGGGGGTGAGGCTAAGGCTGGCCCTGCAGCCGCCCTGTGGATTATCTACACCTCTTCATTGCCAGTTATCACAGGTGGCCTGCTGGGGTTGCTCAGTGGAGGCACCTGGGCTCACACGCCCCAGGGCCCCGTGAGGCTGGGAGGTCAGGGGTCATACTGGCAGCTGCCCTCCACCCATCCTGGCCAGTAGGTAAGGACCAGGGCTTCTGCTGGTCCAGTAATGGCAGGGCTGCAGCCCTCTTTGTTCCTTGTCCCTCTCCCCACTCCAGGTCCCCACAGTCACTAGTACCGACATCCAAGGGTGGAGGTAGCTGGGAAATCTCATACTCCATGGGGCTCATCAGTCAAGCATAAGGGTAGGGAAAGGACACTCACCCAGCATGCCTGGGTTCTAGGCCTGCCTTGAAACCCTACCTTCAAGATGGGAATTCACACAACCCCCTTGCCTCTCTAGACTAGGGTGAGACAAAGGGGTGTGAAGAGATGGCCTTTGAAGCCTCTGGTGTCCCCTAAGTGCATATTGCCAACTCTACCAAAAGAAGACCTGGGGGAGAAAGCACGGATGGCAGTCTTGCTGTGCCCCTCACGCCACCCCAGAAGGCAGACCAGGTGGCATCCACCCCTTCCACAGGGAAAGGCCTCTCTGTGGCCGGGTGTACTCACAGCTTTTGAAGTCCGGTGTAGAGCTCCATGTCCACGGCGTTGAGCGTGTGAAGACTGCGCCAGTTCTCTATGTGTCTGCAGGGGAGGAGGAAAGGTAACGGTCAGCCAGAAGCAACAGAAATGGGGCTGGCTTTGGAGCCACAGAGACCTGGCTTTGATCCCCGATGAGCTAATTGATTGCCAGGCCTTTTGCCAAGTCACCAAATAAATCTGAGCCTCAGTTTCTTCCTCTGCGTGGTGGGGTTCACACCGTCTGCCTGATTGGGTTGTTGCAAGAATTAACTGGATTCATTGGATCCAAGTTCCTGGCCCATGGATTGCATTGAATGTCTCCCCATCAGCTAGAAAAAGATGCTAAAGACGTGAAGTTCAATCTCCCTGCTTGTCTTCCTAACTCAGTTTTCCTCTGTTCCCCTTCTTTCTTTTTCCTATTCAGAATTTCCTAAGGACTGGCCTTTTTTTTCCCTTAGTTATTGCCCATAAAGACAATACAAATGACATGGCTTTAAAAAAGGACGGGGTGGCCGGCTGGCCAGTGGGCATAGCCAAGGAGGGACACACTCCTACTTCCAGCATCACCAGGGTCTAGACTCTGGAAGCCCCCTTTGGGTGACCCACAGCCCAATCCCTCCTGGAGCTCAAAAAACCAATGGCTTGATTTGGTGGAGCTGACTCCAGAGAGTGGGGGCCACCTAAGGATCCTGGAGCCACTAGAGTGTCATGGAAAGAATGGGAACCTGGCAGTGGAGGACACAAACCCTAGCTTCATCTGAGACTTCAGGACCCAGTGACTTTGAGCCAGTGCTTCCACCTCTCTGAGTCTCTCATGTCTTCATTTGTAAAAGAGGAGAGTTGCACTGGATCAGCAGTTTCTCCCCTTTTCATCATGAAGGTCTCCTTTTAGAACTTTGCCCCAAGAGATCCCATGTTTAAGGAGGTTTATATCTAGCAAGCACACTACATCTATTAACTACTAATTAATTCATCTTCTTGGATTTATTAATCAGCAATATAAATCACTATTAACCAGAGCTTTTTATCAACAGACACAAACCCGTGCTAACTCATCCACTGCATAAATTCCAGCCCAAAGCAAAGAAACTCAACATTCTGTCAGCATGAGAAGGCTTGTCATGGGTATGGATCTGATTTCTGGGTTTATTGTTTTTGTATTGACCAAATGCCAGAAACAAACACCCCTCATTACTGCTTTTGGGATCCCCAGGTTGAGAACCATTACACTATTAATTATCAAAGCCCTTTGCAGCTCTAAAGGTGTATGAATGTGCCCATTCATACACACCTGTGATCCCAAGAGGCACCAAAGGATCTCGGGAAAAGGCCTTCCACTGCCCACCCCATCCTCCCAGGATTTTACTCTGATCAGTGGCCATGAATTCTAAGTACTTCAATCTTAGTGAAGAGTGCAGAGAGGTGACAGCTCATCCTGGGACAGAACTAACCCAGGCACACTCTGTCCAGAAAAGTGACAGCCACCTTCCCCAGACATCTCCTCCCCAGCACCACCACACCCGTAGCTCTGCCATCTGCCACCAACTCGAGTCAGAGCCAGCAAGGCAGCAGGACTATGACTGCCAGGGCCTCTGGAAGCATTTCAGAGCCACACGGTGACAAGGTATGCTGAGAACCTGTTTTGTACCACATTCTCCCAAAGTCCCTGCTGAGCAGCCAGAGACACTGGCATCTGCTGGGGACATGGACCAGGTGGCCAGGTTGGTGTTGGATTCCAATGCCAAAGTTCTCCCTGGAAGCCTTACAGCCCCAGGGCAGTTTGGGTGGTCTGGTCTCACCATGGCAGAGAACCTGGCAACATTTCAGATGAAAAGAAAGCGCCAGAGGAGTAGAACTATCTGTGCCACCAGGTCCCCCAGTGTATTCCCCGGGTTTTGTAAATTACCAAGTAGATCACCATGATTGTACAGAATACTTCTCATTCACAGGACTCCAGCTTCCTACAAGGATCTGCTCCCAACAAGCAACTTTTATCCAATTGTTTAAATCACTGAAATCATTTTTCACAGCCCACATTAGAATTCCATAAATGTGTTGTTACGGTTGAGTTGTCAATCATTACCATGTTCTCAAGCCTTACCCTTCTCAGCCCTCATGTCCTTATGCCCACAAACGGACCCTTCCCTGACTTAGGCAAGCACTGAGATATGGCAGAGAAATGAATGAACTCCTTGCTGCAAAGAGTCCTCCGGTAAGTAGAATAATAGTCCCCACCTCCTCCGTTGAGTAGGTCTGAGTTTTCCTAAATCAGGGAATGGCATTTTTGTAGCCACAGTGCAACAGTGTGGGTAGGAGTCAGGGCTCTAAGGCAGTGGTCGTCAAGCTACAGCCCGCTGCCTGCTTTCCTGCAGCCCCAGAGCTAAAAATAGCATTTACATTTTTAAAAATCAAAAGAAGAATTATATTTTGTAACACATGAAAACTACATGAAATTCAAATTTCCATGTTCATACCTGTTCATTTACTGTCATCTATAGCTCTCTTCAAGCTACAATAACAGAGCTGAATAGTTGCTACAGAGGCCATATGGCCTGCAAAACCTGAAATATTTACTCTCTGGCCCTTTACAGAAAACAGTTGTCGACTCCTGCCCTAGGAGCTGATGGTCAAAATGCATATCCTGGCCCCACCAGTACCCCTATCTATATGACCCTGTCCAGGTTACTTCTCTGTCTGTGCCTCAGTTTTCTCATCTATTAAATGGGGATAATAAAATAACTGCCTCGTAAGAATGATGTGAAGATCAAAAGACTATGATAAAAAAGAAAACCCCTTTGCAGTGTGGGGCACATGTAAGTTCTCAGGCAGAGCTGGCTGTGCTGATTATTTTCCTCCTGTGCCTTACGGAAACTGAGCAGTCTTGTTCTCAGTTTTCAAGCTAAAAATGGTATCAGGCTTCTGCTGGAAGTTGTCATGTCTCAGCAATCATTGATAAAAACCCCATGTGGCAGAGTGTGGAGGGGAAGGAAACCTGTCATTCATGGCCTCCAGGAAAACTGTTCCAGCAGGAGTTTATACACAGGTTCAAGGAGTGCATAGATGCCACATCAGAGCAGGTTCCGAGGAAGAGCAAGAGGATGAAGATGAGGCCCTGACATTTCCGGATGGCATCAGCTGGGCACCTGCCAAGTTCTCCTATGACTCACCACTTGGTACCCAACCAGGAGGTCAGTGTTGTGACTCTGCCGGCTGGTGTGTGTGTGCTACTAGGGAGACCACCACTTTCAGTGAAAAAGGCAGGCTCTAGAAAATATTATATATATATAGTAAAAGAGCAGGTTTGGTTTGCCTTTGTCAATGGTGAGTATCTCAACCCAGAACGATTACACGTGGCTTCTCCTTTTTTGTGATTTTCTGGGCTGTACAGGTTGTTTTCATTGAGCATTTGTTTTGTCATTTGAAAATCAATCAATACTGCCTGCAAAACAGACTTTGCGAGGCTGAGGCGGGTGGATCATTCATGGTCAGGAGTTCGAGACCAGCCTGGCCAACATGGGGAAACCCTGTCTCTACTAAAAATACAAAAATTAGCCAGGTATGGTGGTGGGCGCCTGTAATCCCAACTACTCAGGAGGCTGAGGCAGGAGAATCGCTTGAATCTGGGAGGCCGAGGCTGCAGTGAGCCGAGATCACACCACTGCACTCCAGTGTGGACAACACAATGAGACACTGTCTCAAAAAAAAAAAAAAGAAAAAATCAATACCTATTAACTTCTAGAGGCAGGCCAGGCACCTAAACCCTGTGGGGGCGGTGACTGGTTTCCCTGTTCCAGGACCACAGGCTGGACCAGCTCATCCCTGCCCGGACATCTTACAAACCCACTCCCGCTGTGGAGGAAAAGAATTTATAGCAATGCCCAAGGGACTGTGCAATTCTGCAGAGTGCATGGTGATGGCCCCCACAGGAACCTGCAGCTCTGCTCTCAATCTGGGTGTCCTGGTTCAATCAGAAACAGAGAGTGGAGGGAGGAGAAAGAGGGCAAAGGGGTGGCACATCAGGTGCCCACTCCTACTTTAAATAAATTACCTCCACTTTAGTCTCATAATACATTGGTTCTCAAAGGGAGGCGATTTTGCCCCCCAGCAGACATTTGACAATATCTGGACACATTTTTGATTGTCACAGCTGGGGAAAGAGAGTAACAATGGCCTACAGTGGGTAGAGATTAGAGATGTTGCTAAACATCCTGCAATGCACAGGACAGCCCCCACCGCTAAGAATCATCAGCCCCAAATGTCCACAGCACCAGGATTGAGAAATCCTGCTTTATTATATAAAGCTTCTGCCTAAGAGGGCTATTAAAGCAAGAGTCTCATGGCTTAAAACAACATCAATTTTGAAAATGACTGCTTTGCAGCAAACACTACCAGGCTTCAGGCCAATACAAAAAAGTCTACCTCTAGGTCACTGAGTCCAGGTGAGAGGAAAAAATGGGCAAGCCACAGCTCCCAGGACCCTCTCAAGTCACAGGCATTTCTTGAGAGGAAATGAGGGGTGTGTTGGCCTGCTGGACCGTGGCCCAAGCCAGGCTACACATTCCAGATGCAACAGTGGTCTCTTCTCACCATCTCTGGCTGGAACCCACTGGCCAAGAGCCTTTTCTCTCCACTGAAAGTTCCTCTCCTGGATTTCTCATGCCTCTTCATTCCATAGAAATGTGAAATGCTCCATTCAGAAAATCAGCTCAATGCCCTGCTCCTACCCTCTCACCACTGCCCTTCCATTCCACAGAGCCACTACTCTGCCAAGAGCTAGTTGGGCACCACTTTTCCAGACGGAGGGAGACAGTGGGGCATAATACATGATGACATTGACCTCCAGAGTCAGAGTCGGGCTTAGGGCAGGAACTCAAAAACCTCAGTGATGTCAAGGTAGACCCCTGGGATCAAGATCTCATGATGCTGCCAGGTGGGCTTAGAAGGGAAATGGAGTCAGGGAATGGCCATGCAGAGTCTCTTTGGCAATTCTAAAAAATCAGTCTGAAACATACCCACTCTTAGTGACTCATAACAGCAACACCAGGTCCCAGAGACCTAGGACCACAGATAGCTGCTTCATAGCCATTTTTATAATGGGACATGGCATAAATTAAATATTAATTGATACATTCATGGGGACTACAAACATTCTTTGTGCTAGAATAAATTAGATTGCAATTCCTTTTTTTTTTTTCTTTTTTTTTGAGATGGAGTTTCACTCTTGCCACCCAGGCTGGAGTGCAATGGCTCACTGCAACCTCTGCAGTGGGGTGCAATGGCTCACTGCAACCTCTGCCTCCCAGGTTCAAGCAATTCTCCTGCCTTAGCCTCCCGAGTAGCTGGGATTACAGACATGTGCCACCACACCCAGCTAATTTTGTATTTTTAGTAGAGACAGGTTTTCACCATGTTGGCCAGGCTGGTCTCAAACTCCTTACCTCAGGTGATCCACCTGCCTCGGCCTCCCAAAGTGCTGGGATTACAGGCGTGAGCCACCATTGCCAACCAGATGGTACTTTTGTACCCCAGTTTTCTCTTCTTCCTTCTGTTTTGCTTGGGCCAGTATGATAAACGAATTGGCAATCTCCAAGCATTCCAAAATTGGATGGTACAGAATGTGTGGTCCATATTTTAATTAAAAATATGTCATGTGGATATGTTTAAGAGTTGTTTCTACCTTCAATATTTAATGTTTCATGTTTACTCCTCTCCTATGCAGAAAATTGTAGAACACAAAGACGCCCACCACCATCTAACCCCAGAGGACTAAGGTGATTGAGGAAGTCAACAGGGACAAGGCACCCTTTACCTGGCAGAACTTCCCTGGGCACTTGGCAAGACAGGAACTCGGTCGGTGGGACTTAGGAACATCCTTCCTTTCTCGACAGGTAGCAGGCCCAGTATTGCCTCATTTTTCTAAGCTTTTCCCGCTCCTCTCTGGCTGTCAGATTGCTGTTATCTTCACTGTGACTTCTCACTGCTATTAATGAGCTCTTCTTCATAACCAAATTTTCCAGACAACTAAATTTAAATGCAAAACCCTTTGCATTTTCAACTTCCCTGCTGGATGTTTCTTTTTTCCACCTAAAATGCATTACACACATCCTTGCCTTTTTAAACAGAGTAGACAGATCATGATTTACATTTTCTTGATGACCTTACATCAATACGACCAGCCTAATGAGCCTGCCAGGCTGTAGCACAGCAAAACCCTCAGAAGCTCTTGATGGATGCAGAATTTGTAGCCCTACTACAAATGGCCCTACCCTGATATGACTTCCTATTCCAACGGTTATCGCATCCATTTTAACTATTTTCTGGCTCTTTTTTTGATATTAGGCTGCAGGCCATCACCTCTTAAGCTGTCCCCAGGGCCCCTCCTCCCTCCCAAATGTGCTGTGCCCAGTATCCTCTGCAGCCTCTTGGAGCCCAATAGGTAAGAGCTGGCACCTGGAATTAGGCTGACCTGGAGATGACACGCTAGCACCGGAAGCCAGATGCCTTCAGGCCAGTTACTAGAGCTTCTCCAGCCATCAGATTTTCCATAGCAAAACTAGTTGTGGTGAGGGTTAGAGAAGGTAATGCCTAAGTCCTCAATTCACTGTGGATGCATGGCACTAGTGGAATAAATAGCTGATTCCATTTGTATTGTTAGAAATGCATGTAAAGTAAGCGTAAATAGGATCTAAGGGAATATGAAAACATTCACACACACATACATGCACATGCATACAGATAGGCAGATATTTGCCCTTGTTTTCATATGACTTTGTTTTGCTCCCCCTTTTGGATAACTGAAGTTGCCAGTTAAGTGAAGCTTTCCTGGAGGTGCAGTCACAATTCACATTTACATGGCGGTACCTAAGCGTACGACACTATCATTATGTTCAGAATACTGGCAGGAGGCAGCTGAAGCTGATGTTTCCCGTGTGTGTGTGTGTGTGTGTGTGTGTGTGTGTGTGTGTGTGTGTGTCTTAACACAGAGCCTCACTGTCACCCAGGCTGGAGTGCAGTGATCTCAGCTCACTGCAAACTCTGCCTCCCAGGTTCAAGCAATTCTCGTGCCTCAGCCTACCGAGTAGCTGGGACTATAGGCATGTGTCACCACGCCTGGCTGATTTTTGTATTTTTAGTAGAGACAGGGTTATACCATGTTGGCCAGGCTGGTTGCGAAATCCTGGCCTCAAGCAATCAGCCTGCCTAGGCCTCCGGATGTTTTTTATATGTGAGTACTCTACTCCTCCAACACAAAATTCAAAAGCTTCAAAAACAAGATTGCATACAGGTGTCCCTTCTCTCCAGCTAGTGCCTGCAGAAGCTAGTCTGGAATTCCATTTCCTAACAAGTCAGCATTGGAGCACACACACGCATGAATGCACGTGTGCACACACACGCACAATGTGCCGCGCTTTTGACTCCGAAGCCTTGTAGGGCAATGAGGAAATTGATTTGTTATCCAGGCGTATTATGTCTAGTGATCCAGACAGCAACATTAGCTTTCAATTATCTGATATGTTTAGCATCATAAACAAACCGTCTGGAGCAACAGCTCCATGGTGCTAAGGCATCAAGGGGGCTGGGAAGGAGCGCATGGGATCACGCTAGCCAAGTCACCTGGCTCTCCCTCCCTTGACAGCTGTTGTGGGGGACAGTGTGCTAGATGCCTGGGGAGCCAGACCTGAGAGCCCCAGGCAGCCAGGGGTTGGGACGGCTTGTGCCGGTGACCCCAGCATGCCAGCACGTTAGCACACAAGCCTACAAGCAGCTGTGCGCCAAGGACCACGGTGAACCAGCCCCGCATCTGGGGCCACCCCTGGGACCACAGAAAGGAACATTCAGATCATGCAGCAAACAGATGGAAGACGACAGCATCTGTGCTGGCTTCCTGATCAATTCCAAAGTATTGTGCCAGGAATGAAGAACGTTTGTGCACACACCTGTGTTCTGCAGGTGCAAAGATGCTGTGTCTCCTAACAGGAAAAGATCAAGGGCACATCTTCACTGCTACCCCACTAAGAAAAGGGCTAACTCCCAGGAGCGAGATTTCACCTGGGAGCCAGCCAGTTCACTGGGGAGTCCAGGCCATTGTGGCTGAACCCCAGCCTGTGGCCTCCTATCCTACCCCTCCCCAGCCTATCTGCTTCTATTTTTACTGCTGCTGCCTGGGCTGGCACAGGATGGCAACCCCAGCTTGCCTACACATCAATGCTCCCGGTAACCACCACCTATTCTAACCCGGAGAACAAGCATCCCCTCCTACCTGGCCTCCCTGCTTTCCCTCTTCAACAATCTACATTATTGCAACCACTCTCTCCTGCCTAAAACCCTCCAATGGCTTCCTTTGGCTATGACAATAAAATCCAGTGATGTCCAGACATCACTGGAAGCCACCCTCAAGGTCCTGCACAAGCTGGCCACCAGATGCCTCTAGGGCTCCTTCTCTGAACACACTCCCCTTGTTTTGTGGGCTCCAGTCACACTGTCCTGCTTCTGGTCTTTAAATATGCCAAGCTTATTCCCAACTGGACCTCCTACGTGAAACACTCATCCCTGGCTTCTTTCAATCCCTCAGATCTCCACTCAAAAATCACCTTCTCGGAGAAGCCTGCCCTGACCCCACTGTGTTAGCAGCCCCTGCATTTCCCCTCCAGTTGCTCTCTGGCACAAACGCCTGTTTATGTCCTTCACAGCCCTTAATAACCATCTGTAATTGTCTTATTAGATTATTTGATTATGTGTTTGTCATCAGTGTCTCTACATTAGAACCATAATGCATGAGAACAGAGATCATATCTGTCTTACTCACCATTTACTCACCCCCAGAATCTTAAATTGGGGCACCACCCCTGAGTAAGTATACACCTGGAAAGCCATCCAGGGCGGTACTATGTAGCCACCCAGCTGCCCCACCTCACTGCCAGAGGATCTCCACCCTCAGTACCTGCACGGCCCTCACCCTGGCCCCCTGAGCAGCCCAGGGCCCTGGTCTGACCCTACAGGCACCCTGAACTTGATCTCTGGGGAGAGCTGTGGCCCCGAGCACACCACTGAACATCCCACCCAGGGACAGGCATGCTGGAGGCATAACTGCAGGGCACAGCAGCAAGGGGAAGGTGATCTCAGAGGTCTCAAGGGCCCCATATCCAGAGCTCCCTCCCAGGCCCAGGTCTCAGCTTGATGTCCACTGTCAGGGTCAGCAGTGGGGAAGTAGGAGGGCCCTACACACCAAACGAAGAGGAAGCAGAAATGTCCTTGGCACCCAGGCACATCTTTTCCACCTTTCCTGTCCCTACATGACTATGGCCTTCACCAAAGCATGAGTTTTCTAAGGGCAAGGCCAGGAGGCTGTGGTTCCAGTGTTATGCAAATAGTGACCACTAGGCGAATAAATGAACGAATCCCCAAAGGGATCAATGTCAGACCTTAACCATTTAGCTATCAGCTTCCCATGTGGACTTTCTACCCGGCCTCAACCTTTCCCACCTTCTCAGGAACATATTCATTTTTTCTCTTCCTCTTCTCTACCCTCAACTGTCTCTCTGCTATGTTTTTCCATCAACATATAAACATGTTTTAGGAAAGCTCATCTACAAAAAGAAAAAAAACCTCCTTGACTCCATGTCCTCCTCCAGCTACCAACTCATGTGTCTACGCCTCTTTATGGCAAATGGTTTAAAAGAATCGTCTACACCTGCAGGCCCTTCTTCCTCGCCTCCCTTTGATTCTCCATCCTAGTTTGTCTTCGATCCTACTACTCTACTGAAACTGCACTGTCAAGGTCACCAGTGATTTTTATGTTTGCAAATCCAATCGACTCTTCTCTGTCACCCATTATTCAATCTCTGGGTAGCATTTTACCCTGTTAACCACTCTTTCTTCCTTGAAACATTCTTTCCTCTCTGGCTTCCTTGACTACACTCTCTCCTGGGTTTCTTTCTACTCTCTGGATATTCTTTCTTAGGCTCCTTCGCTGATGTCGTATTCTTTGCCTGATCCTTAAATGTTGGAGTCTCCCAGGGAGCCTGGGGCTCCTCTATTCACTTCCTCTCTCATGTGCCAAGGTGATCTCCCCCAAGTGCTCTGCTCTGAGCGCCGTCCTTGTGCTGATAGCACTCAAATGTGCATCTCTGGCAGAACTTTCCCTGAGCTCCAGATGTTTAGCTGACATCTTAGCAGATCCAATACCAGCCCCTGCTTTCCTCCCAGTGAGCTGTCTCCATATCAATAAATGACACTGGTATCATGGAGTTGTCCCAGACAAACCCTGTCATTGATTCTACCCTTCAACTCTATCTACTTCTTGCCACATCCACTATTATCACCTGCGTCCAGGCCACCATCACCTTTCATAAAGACCCCTGCCTCCAAAACATGACTACTGTTTCCACTGCGGCCCAATTAAAATCTGTCCTCCACACAGAAACCCCAATGAATTAGTTGGAATATAAATTTAATCATGCCCTCCACCAAAACAAACAAAAAACCTCTAGTGGCTTCTCCTGCACTTGGACTTGGGGGAAAATTCTGACTCCACCATGACCAGCAGGATCCTTCCTCATGTAACATATGCCATTCCCTCCTCAGCTGAAACCTCCCTCTCTCTTTATTCACTTGACTTCAGCCTCACTGGTCTCCTCTCAGGACCTTCGCATTTATTTTTCCCTCGGCCAAGACAGCAGCTTCAGGATTCTTTTGAAATGTCACTTCTCCAGAGAAGCCTTCCCTGACCAACCTAGCTAGGGTCATTCTCTGAACCTTCCTCTAGATCAATAGTGCTCATGCTCAAGTCAGGGGCGGACTGTGCCCCCCAGGCTTGGGTTGTCTGAAGACATCAGTTTTGATTGTCACTATTGGGGCGGTGCCACTGGTGTCTAGCGGGGTGAGGCCAGAGATGTTATTAATCTCCTACAATGCACAAGACAGCCCCCACCCCCAACAGAGAATTATCCATTCCAAAATATCAGTAGCGCTAAGGTTGAGAAATGATGCTCTAGATAACTCATTTATTATCACTTACCAAAACCTCTGATTATGTCACCTATGTGTTCACTTGTTTATTGTGTCTCTCTCCTAATGCATTGCAGGCTCCCTGAAGGCAGGCAACCTGTCTTATTCACTATTGTATCTGCAGCACTCATCCAAGTTCCCGGTACATAGTAGAAATTTTAAATAAACAAATTAATAAATGACTGTCCCTCCTCAGAACCCTGTGACCTCTCAACAAGTCATGAAAAATCTGTGGTTACCAAGGTCTTGATTGGGACAGCACTTTTTCCAACCACTTGAAGAGTCTAAAGCATAAAGGAGCAAGCTGTGCCCATGGGATTGGGGTCAGAGGGGTGGAACCCTTGTAGCCCCTTGGAGAAAGTCTCCTCCTGTCTACAAATGAGAATCAAATCATGTTGATTATAAAACCTCTGATCCTTACTAGGCATCTTAGCTTTGAACCAGGGGAGAAAATGGAGGCCTTTGATCAAGAGTAAAAACAGCCTCGGGCAGGGAGACAGACATTGATTTTGACCCTTACTCCCCAAGGGGTCTTGGGGGGAAAAGCCTGAGTGAGAAGGAGTTTGGTCCAGGCCTGAGCAGCTGGCTTGAAAGTAATCCAATAGTGCGAGCTCTGTGCCTAAAATCAGCTGGCCCCAGGGGTTCTGAGAATGCTGCCCTTTGGGTGGCCAATTTCCTTAGGAAAATATGAAATGGCCAGGCCACCCTTTACTGAATTATAAAGCACTTATCACTTCTTTAATAACTACCCGCATGGAGGACTTAATTCACTCAATATGGAAGTTATAAAGGCGAATTGGTGAGTGAGCATTAAGCTCAAGTGCATTGCATAAAGACTTATGAGGGCAATATTTTCGCCCATTAAAAGGGTAGATTTTCTCACTGCAACTCTGCCTCAGAGTTAATGCAGAAAAGTCGCTCCAAAGCTTGGGGCATTTTCATTGTTAGAGGGTAAGTTCAGGTCACTAGGAGGAAAGGGAGTCCTTGACTTTGCAGGAATAATTATCCCAGAACCTGAGGGTGTCAGTGTGATTAGTCAAGGTAAGCATCAGAAAGACAAGATCACATTTGTGATGCCTGGCCCTCTCTTTCGTGCACAGCAAGCCGGGATGCGACCGAGGCACAGTGAAGAAGAGAGAAGTCACAGGATGAAGAAGGAAGGGTGGGCTGGGATGGGGGCTGCAGAAGAATGTGGAGCAGGGGCTGCAGGAGGGAGGCAGGCCCCAGGGCCAGCTCCTGTAAGACCTGAGCACTGAGAGGAACACCTACTTACATCTGGGGCCTGAAAGGGAGGAAATGATATTCACCCTTGTTATCTGTAAGGAAACCAGCTCTGGAATTTCTGAAGGTTCCAGAGGGCTCCATTTAAGGAGCTGGAGCAGTAGCCTTCCTCACCCAAGTGAAGGAAATGCAGGTTTCTCTCTTGTTCGCTTTTCTCTCCCTTACTTCATCATTGCCACCCAATTCCTTTCCTCCAGCAATAAACCATCTGTTCTCTTCCTCATATACTCACCCTCTGGGAAGGCATCTCTCCATTCACATGACTTCAATTACTGCCTAATTAGAGATTGATTCTAGTTCTACAGCTCTACCCTTGATGCCTAACCTGTCTCCTGTCCTGAAGTTCTTGTTATCACAATATGCATTCCCCTGAACTCTAAAGAGCAAATATGGACAGAATGGCTCACTCTTCCCACCTGAACTTTCCCAAACTACCTTCAATGAGTACTCCTGACTTGAAACATGGCAGCAGAGATGGTCAGTCAATTTTAACTTATGTACAATACTAGTGGGTTGGCAAGAGCTAACACAGAGTGCTGTGATTAGAAGAGGTCTATGGTTGAGCAGGACAAAAAAAAAAAAAAAAAAAAAAAAAAAAAAAAACCTCTGTGATTGATTAGTGATGTCTGCCCTGGGCACAGTACATGGAAGGACCATGAAAGTATCATCCATTGACCACATCTACTCAAAAGGCTCTGTGAGGTCTTTTCTTTCTCAGATTCAAGTCCCATCAGTCCCTCCTTCCTGATATTGCAAGTAACTTCCCTTGTCTTTTTATTTCTACAGCTTCTATCTTAGACAGCCTCATGCCCAGAAGGATAGGAGGACCTCTTAGCAACCCTTTCAGCTTTCATTCTTTGAGTGCTAACTTGTTCTAGGCTCCATTTTTTACAAAGATGACATCGATCATGTCCCCTACAGGCCCAAGACATCCCAATGGCTATCAAACGCCTCACACCAAACCAAACTTCTATTAGGAAGCCTTAAGCCTGCAGGAAATCTGAAACTGAGGAGAAGGGACTATAAACAGAGCTACAGACCCTTTGAGGACAGAAGCAACTTTTTCTCTGTTTCCCGTGTCCAAACCATTGCACTACTGAGATGCTTTCCTGAGGCTTGAATCCAGCTGGAAGCTGAGAGGAAAGGGGGTTGCTAATGGGACCTGTGTAAATGGCTTTTGTGACTCTCATTCTTCCTGTCCCCATGTGTCCTCATCTTTTTCTCAAAGAAAATAAAACATCAAGCTACTCCAGGGAGGTGTGCTTACTTCTACAGAGAAATCCACCTGCCAGGCATCATCATGCCGTCTCCCCTCTGGTTCTTCCCTGTACTATTTTTGGAAGCGGTTTGTTATAATGAAAAAAAATAACAGCTTTGGGGTCAGCACTGAGCTTCACTTTCCAGTCTGTCACTGACAAGCTAGGTGATCTCCCATGGCCTCAGTTTCCTTATCTGTAAAATAGAGATAATGATGCTGAACTCATGGAGGCATCATAACAATGAACTAAAATAGTGTTTGTAAAAAGCCCTAGCACATTCCCTGAAATATGCTAGGGCTCAAAGAATGTTTATTTTCCTCTTCAAAAAGAAAAGCAATCCTCGGGTTGGGCAGGAATTGAGGTCAGGACTGGGGCCACCATGGCAGGGAGGGTAACCCTACTTGTAGCTTCAGTGGCTGAGGCTGTGACAGACGTGTAGTGTGAGACTCTTCCCAGCCACCCCCTTCCCATCCTTACCCACTGCTTCCTCCTCCTCTCATAACCCAGCCTGCACTTTACAAGTCAGCCAAACAAAGCCCTGGCTGCCCAGATATGGTTCCCTCCAGTGTCCTCTGAGCCATGGTGCCTCTCCCTGCCCACCTCTGGGTACTCAGAATGTCAGTGGAGCTGAATGTCTCCTCCTGGGGTTCCAAAGTGCCACATCTTCCTCTCCCCTAAGCTTTTAACAAACCATCGCCACCCAGTCACAGTCACTCAGTGATCCCAGCCTCACCCTCTAATTCCTGAGAAATTTTTCTAGGTGGCTGCTGATGTATGTATGTAATCCTGTCACCTGTGTGTCTAGGCATTATCTGCCTGGCTTCCCTTGTGAGAGCATAAATTCCTTGACAACAAAGTCTGCTGCATTCTATTTATTTTGTTCACCCTCCTCGTGCCCCATGCTCAGTTCTGCGCTCAGTAAGCATTCAGACCTTGCAGAAATTCCCAGAAGCTTCTCCTTGAAGCTGGGACCAGGTGGGCTCCAACCTGCAGTGGGAAAGAGCTGTCTAAGTAGCCTGGGACAGGGCTGAGGTCCAATGCCAAGGGCCCAAGAAGCACAAAACAGAGAGCTGAGGAGAGATGCTGACTGACACACACTCCTCAGAGTCTCATCCTGCACAACTCAGCCAGGATGTCCTCGCCTTTGGAAAGCCTTCCTTGGCCCCCTGTTTCTCAGTCACAAATTTCTCTGCTGTGCTGTCCATCATGGAACTAGGGCTGATATTTGAGACAAGTAACACTTCATAGAGCACAAACTCAGGACCAAATGGACATCACATCCTAAGCCAGGCACTGATCCTTAGTTCCTGGATCCAGGGACAGGGTGGGGTGGGGAGAAGGAGGTATCAGGCTGGAATGGCTGGTAGACTGGAATATTGGGCATCATCACTTGGGGGGCTCAGGGAGCAAATATTTACCCTTTATTATGGAAGTAGTTCACTACTTTCACAACTTCCAGGCTTTAACTGATGTGAGCTGGTGAGAGTCCACTCCAAACAGAGCCTGCACCTCTCCCAGGACACTCATCATGTCGTCCGGTACTCTTTGACAAGCCTATCTCCTCCACAAGACTCCATGATCCTTGGGGCAGGGACTATGTCTTTTATCTCTGCATCCCTGGTGCCAAATGGGGCTCCTGGCTCCTAAAAAGCCCTAGTAAATGTTGCATGGATGCAGCAGGAGTTCTCCTTCCCAGAGCTGTCAGCTTCACCCTTGGGCAAGAACATTTAATATCCTGAAAGGAATTGTCCAAATTAGTGAAGGGAGGCCCAAGGCACCATCCCAGGAGTCCCATAGTGGGGCAGGACAGGGGAATGCAACAAAGACTCTAACCGCCCCTCTTCTAGGGAGACTGGTGGAGCACATCTCCTGGGACTGACCTTCTGCGCTGCACAAAGTGGAAACCTCAAGGTCAAAGTGGTGTCTGTGCCCTTAACTCCAGCACCGGGGAAAGTGTCTGGGGAGACCCAGTCTTTGGCCCTCACCCCTGCAAGCATTCCTCCTCTCTAGGCCAGTAGCAGCAGAGTTTACTCAAAGATCCCAGGGGCTTGGGAATGTAGAACCTCACAGCTGGCTCCTGAAATGGAGTTCAGCAGGACAGCCTGGGCCACCACTTCCAAGAAAGGAAGTGGTGCTGGTGCCCACTGAGTAAAGAGAAGGAAAAACCTACAGGTGGGAGTCAGGGGAGTCAGAGCCAGAACACACCAGGATTCTCACGTCCAACCCCAATCAGCTCTCTTCTCACACTATGCACAAGGAAGAGGCACAGCCCATGGCAGTCCAGATAGTGGGTGACCGTGAATAAATTGGGAGCATGATTGAGCCCAGGCTCTGAGCCTCTGGTTACAGAGCTCACTCATGTCCCCCTGCATTCACCACAAAGAAGGACTCAATGGCCAGAAGCCACTCATCAGTTCCCACCTGCCCGGACTGGCCGCCAACCTAGAGCATCTTTACTCAGTGGGTTCAACTTCTCCCAAGCCTAGGTCAGGCTGATTTATCCAGGCCTAATCCCAACAGCAGGTATGGCCTGGAACTCCACTTCATTTATTTATAAGCACCTACTATGTGCCAGCTCCCTCTGCCTGGCATCTGGTGTTCCTGGAGAGATTTCCCCTCCTGCACCACTGATATGGTTTGGCTGTGCCCCCACCCAAATCTCATCTTGAGTTGTAGTTCCCATAATCCCCACGTGTCATGGAAGGGACCCTGTGGGAGGTAATTGAATCATGGGGCAATTACCTTCATGCTGTTCTCGTGATAATGGGTGAGTTCTCACAAGATCTGATGGTTTTATAAGGGGCTCTTCCCTCTTTGCTCAGCACTTCTCCTTCCTGCCACCATGTGAAGAAGGATGTTTTTGCTTCCCCTTCTGCCATGACTGTAAGTTTCCTGAAGCCTCCCCAGCCATGTGGAACTGTGGGTCAATTAAACCTCTTTCCTTTATAAATTACCCAGTCTCAGGCAGTTCTTTATAGCAGTGGGAGAACAGACTAATACAACCACCAAGCTGCAGCCCTCCCTCCAAGCCTACTGGAAGCGCCTTAGCAATATGACAGGGTCTCTATCACAGGCTCTGATTGCCACTTCAATGAGATGCTGAAAATCTGGGACAAGAGCTCTGCCCAAATCCCAGCTGCTCAGCTAGGCTCTAACAATGCAGCGAGCACACCATCATCTTTCCTTTTCCTGGCAGAGGGACTCAAGTCCTGCTCACACTTTCTCATCAGCATCTTGCTAATGGCTCATGGACCAATCTCAAACCATGTAGATCCCTGTCTACGCCGCATTATTAATTTTCGGTTAACAACAGGAGTGCTTCCCAGATCCACCACATTAGGCACCACGGTCAGCCAGACCAGTCCCAATCAGATTCAAGCCCTGATATCTTACCCACCATGATATGTTGGAATGGGAGTGCTGGCTAGACTCTGGGGACCAGCCCAGCAGCTGGTTAGTTTCCCTTTGACCTGAGCCCACCTATTGATAGTTTTATTCCTTTTCCTCACCAGCATGCCATTGGTAATTCAAAATGACTAAAAGCTGCATTTACAAGTGTGCAGACACCTACCACCCACGGGTCTCATGGGTGTTGTCCCTCGGTTCTAAGGGTGTGTGAAGCCACCATATCATGTGCAATTCAAGAATTCAAAACCTAGGCCAGCACAGGACTTGCATCTGAATTCTATAATGGTAATAAACTTCACAGTAGTCTTCAGCTCAGACTCTCAAGGAACCTGTGTGACAACAAACCCTCTCCTCCTGCACACCTCGTACATGCTACAGGAGTGCAGAGAGGTTAAGGTGCAAATGATCCCTGAGGAAAACACTCCCAATTCACGCCATCTGGACACAAAGGCCATTCCTCCCAGCAGAGAAGGTTGAGTCTCTGCTGTTCCCTGTACTTAAAACTGTGAGGTGCTAGCCCTGCCTGCAGATGTCTTGGGGTCCGAATACTTCAGAACACAGGGCCAGGCCACCATGATGTTGGGCTTTTTCTTAATGGAAACTGCCTGTTTGCCAAGGAGCCCCTGTCCACTGGGTCTGCTCATAAGGGGTTCTTTTCACACCCCTGGAATAAATGCTTGCATAGGGCATACAGAGCTCTTCTTACTGATAACAACTTTATAAAATACATTTGAATGATGTTCCAAGTCACTCTCTCTTCTATTTCCTCCCTCATTTCTTTGTCATAGATGGTGCCCTTCCAACAGGTCTGGATTCCTAAAAAAAAAAGACTACATCAAGGCCTAAATGTGAAGATCTATTTTCCTCTGAAGAAGGTCAGGGTTCCACAGATTAGGACCCCCAAACAGCTGTTAATAGCCATTCTCCAGCTGACTACTGCTGGCCAAAACCTGCAGGAGCCTTCCTCCTGGTCTTCGTTTCTTGCCTTCCAGGTCTTCTCCTAGCTAATCCAATCCTAAGCGGGGAGGCACGAGGGGCTTTTTTCTCCACCAGCCTGTATCTCAGCAGCCTTGCTCAGGCTCTTTCAACTTCACTTCCGTTCGACATCTCCCCCACTTCACTGACTTTCTCTCCTGGCCTTTCCCTTCAATCATTCATCTCCACATTTGGGAGACAGGGCTCCTCTCCCAGCCAGCTGCTCTGTGCAGTGTGAAGTCATAGTTGGCAGCAACAGGCAGAATGCCCCATTCTCTAAAGCAGAAACCTCAAAGAACCCAAAAAGTGAGTCAGTGTTTCTGAAAGCTGTCCCGTGCTCAGCTGTGTGCTCCAGACAGTCATTTGGGGGAGTTATGGAGATACAGATGCCCTTTTGACTAAGCGACCCATTCATGTCCATCTTCAGGGTGTGGCCAGTTGGGCCCCAGACCTGTTCCTGTCCTAGGATTCCTCAGAGGCTGCCTGCAAGTTTCCATTCAAGCCCATCTCCTCACCATGACCTGTGCAGCTGCACAGAGTGCTGTCCTGGAGAGAAGGATGTTGCCAAGGAGAGCATCCACACCTGTGTGTCCAAAGGCTGAGTGTGACCCATGAGTCTTGTTTCCCACAAACGTGAGATCCCAGAACTAACAAGACCAAAGACCAGAAGATAAAGAAGGAAAACTAGCATTGCTGATTCCCTAGGAAGTAAAATGCCACTGGCCAGCAGGAGAATCTGGTTGGGCAGGGGCTGGATGAGACACTGCAAATCTTGCCAAGCAAACACTCTGTGTGTCCCACTGATGTCCCTCAGACCTTCCCACTTTTTGATGCTAGCTGGCTCCCAGTGGCCAGCACCTGCTTCTCTCTTCCTGAGAGCTTTCTCTGGAGTGGGCCAAGTGTCTGCAGGGCTTAATACCCCAGGAGCAGCCCTCCTAGCAATGATGGCGGACAAATATCCCAGATCCAGTTTCCCACAGTGATTGCTAGCTCGGTACACACTCTTCCTGACTTCCCATCTCAGTTCCCCATTCCCCTACCTAGAAGTCCTGAGATTACTTCCCACATAAATCACTTGCCCTTGAATATTTCTCTCAGGATCTGCTTCTAGGGATTCCCAAACTAAGACACCTTTTTGTCTACCAGCTGCTACACATGGGAACCCATGTGTGTCTTTCCAGCTCTGTCTCCTACCGCATGACTCAGACCCCAATAATCCACTTAAAAGAATAAAGAGTTGCACTGTTTGAGCTTTTACTGTGTGTCAGTCTCTGCATTTACCCCCCTAATCTCATTTCAATCCCATAACCACCCTAACGAACAGGTTTTATCATTCTTGTTTATAAATGAAAGGCACCAAGAGGTTGAGCGACCTTCTCAAACCTCACACGGCTAAAAGAGGTTGATTATTGGGTATGGATATACAGTTAGATGGAAGAAATAAGACCTAATGTTCAATAGATCAGTAGGGTGACTATAGTTCACATTAATCTATTGTACATTTCCAAATAGCGAGAAGAAAGTAATTCAAATGTTCCTAGAATAAAGAAAAGATAAATATTTAAGGTGATGGCTATCCCAATAACCCTGATTTGATCTTTACACATTATACGAATGTATTAGATTATCACATGTACCCCAAAATATGTATGTCTATTATGTATCAATAAAAATAATTTTTTTAAAAAAAAGCAAAGATAATTTTTTTAAATGTTACTTTAAGTTCAGGGATACATGTGCAGAATGTGCAGGTTTGTTACACGGGTATACATATGCCATGGTGGTTTGCTGCACCTATCAACCCATCATCTACATTTTAAGCCTCACATGCATTAGGTATTTGTCCTAACGCTCTCCCTCCCCTTTCTCCCCACCTGCCAACAGGCCCCAGTGTGTGATGTTCCTCTCCTTGTGTCCGTGTGTTCTCATTGTTCAACTCCCACTTATGAGTGAGAACATGTGGTGTCTGGTTTTCTGTTCTTGTGTTAGTCAAGCAAAGGTAATTTTTTAAGTGAAGTCCAGATACAAACTCTCTCCTCCATTGGATTCCGCAGCAGTTGCTCTTAATCCCAACAATCTAATGCCTTTCAGACACCTGCTCTCGCCAGTCTTGGGATTTCTCTCCTTCTGGCATACTCTCTCCCCTATTACCTTCTAACTTGAAAAATTAAAAAAAAGTCTTGCCTATTTCACAGAGTTCTTGAGATGATTCAACAAGCCACTGTCTATAAAAAAATCACAATTAACGATAACACATTATAGAAATGTAGGGAAGCCAGATTTTGATCACTTCTACTCCTACAATCAGCCATTTCTAATGCTGCTCACTCTACAAACTCTTCCTTTGATGCCCTGATCCTTGGCCAGGTTCTCCTTCCAGCCTTATCACAGTCTGTTTTGGGATCAGAGTTTTTGTGGGTGTATCTTTTCTCCCCTCAGAAAGGCCCTTTCCTTTGCACCCTGCTTGCACCCTAGGAGGTGTTAAAAATTCTTTCTGGATGAACTAATCAGTTACATAAAGGTGTGAGAATGGGAGCCCGCCCAAGCCACAGACTCTCATTCCATACATCCAGACCTGCTGGTGAAGGGAAGCGAGGCTGCAGTCACTGGACAAATATTCACTGGGGGCGTGCCACCTGCTGGGCACAGTCTCTGGCTCAGGCACATTCATCAGGTGTCACCTCTCAGCAGAGCAGGGCTACCTGAGTGGTGAGGTACAAGCCCCTCTCCCATTGGATCAAACTCAGTTGGATCAAACCACTTTGACAGGAGGTGAGGGAAAAGGAAAGGAATATGATGGGAAAGATGATGCGTTTCTGAGATTCTTGTTACAGTCTGGGCAATATCCCACATCAGTCCTGCCCTTCCTACCAGGAAAATCAGCATTCTCAGGAGTGCTGAGAAATTGGAGAGAAAGAAGAAAACAATCCAGGGCTGACAGTGACGTTCATAAAAAGTGATTTTCTCCCCCTGCTGCTAAGCTTAGCATGTGGTTCTGTATATGGTGGGAAGACGAGGGATCTGGATTCAGGGTTTAAAATGCATTTCAGCTGGAGCCTTGATGCCTTAGTGTCCGTGTGGGGTGAGAAACACAAGGGATGACAGACTTCCCTGGTTCAAGAGAGCATGGGGAAACCGCAAGCCAGAATGTGTCCACCGCCCAGACTGGCCTACGTGGGCCTCGGCTCTCAGACCCTCCCATCTCACCAGCCAGGCCTTTGAGGCCTCTCCTGCAAGCATCTCCCCAAGGTCCCACAGAGGTCCAAGAGCCCAGCATGGCAGCGATGCTTACGTGAAATCACACTTATTACATGATCTGCCACAGATCTCTTCCTAGGAGGCTACAAACTTCTACAGACATGAGCTCTGGTATATCATCCTAGGGATACAGGAAGCCAGCCAGCCACAGCCCTCTATTTCCTGAGCACTGAAAGGTAACCCAACTGCACACAGCCCGCTTCTGAACAAGGGCTATCCTAAGCCCCCAAAACGGTGACTCCAGGGTCAGCCCTCTCACCCCGGTTTGGCCCCTACTCGTTCTCCAGGCCCTGAATAAATAAAATGGCGGGCCTGACTACAAGAGAAGGCTCCTAAGGACTTTGGGGATGGGAAGGCACACAGGCTGAACAGAGTCTCCCATAACCCTGACCTACCTACTGTAGTCGAACCGGCCCCTAGGTGTGTACAGGGGACAAGGGCGTCCCCTGAATCCCTCATGCTCCCTCCTGCAGACCTGGAGTGTGCCTTATGAATGTGGACAGCTTAATGAAGAGGGGTCCAGTTGCAACAGCTGCCGACCTCATCTTCCGGGATCTGCTCAGCCGCCTTTTCTAATCCATTCCCCACAGCAGCTAGAGATGCCTTGGAAGACACTTATTAAAACTCTCCAGAGGCCGGGCGCGGTGGCTCACGCCTGTCATCCCAGCACTTTGGGAGGCCGAGGCGGGCGGATCACGAGGTCAGGAGATGGAGACCATCCTGGCTAACACGGTGAAACCCCGTCTCTACTAAAAATACAAAAAAAAAAAATTAGCCGGGCGAGGTGGCGGGCACCTGTAGTCCCAGCTACTCAAGAGGCTGAGGCAGGAGAATAGCGCGAACCCCGGGGGGCGGAGCCTGCAGTGAGCCGAGATCGCGCCACTGCACTCCAGCCTGGGCGACAGCGAGACTCCATCTCAAAAAAAAAAACCAAAAAACAAACAAAAAAACAGGCCGGGCGCGGTGGCTCACGCCTGTAATCCCAGCACTTTGGAAGGCCGAGGCGGGCGGATCACGAGGTCAGGAGATGGAGACCATCCTGGCTAACACGGTGAAACCCCGTCTCTACTAAAAATACAAAAAATTAGCCGGGCGCGGTGGCGGGCGCCTGTAGTCCCAGCTACTCAGGAGGCTGAGGCAGGAGAATGGCGCGAACCCGGGAGGCGGAGCTTGCAGTGAGCCGAGATTGCGCCACTGCACTCCGGCCTGGGCGACAGAGCAAGACTCCGTCTCGAAAAAAAAAAAAAAAAAAACAAACCTCTCCAGAAACCTCAAAGAGTCCTGGTTCTGAGGAGAAACCCACACTCCTTACAGTGGCCAGGCGGGCGGGGCCGGGTCTTTCCTGGCTCACAGCTCCTTTCCCTGCTCCCACCTCGGCCATAGCCCTGCAGCCACAGCCATCTGTCTCTGCATCGGAGGCCCCACGCAGGGCCTTTGTTAGTGTCTGCTGGTGCTTCTCCCTGAGACTGTCCCCAGACACACCATTGCCCCTGGTCAACTCCTTCAAGTCTCAGGGGAAATGTGCTTCCTCAGGGACCCCCAGGCCCAGGCTTGGTCAGCGCCCCAGGTCTACATTACCCAGAACCTTCTGTTCCTCCTTCAGGGAATTCACAGTCAAACTCGGAGTCACTGGCTTAGCGTCTAGCTCCGCCCCGACATTGTGGGTCCATCAGGGCCTGTTTTATTCCTGGCTGCATCCCCAGCCCTCGGGCCAGGAGCTCAATGGTATTTGTCAGGTTGCTTGACCCTAACAGGCTGGTTTCATGAGAAGGTGATTGCTGGGACTATTATATTACCTGCCTCCAGCGAGTCCCCAGGCACCTGCCTCCAGGATGGCACTGCGGGGATAGTTGTCCCATGAGCTGGGTGGTGGAACTGTCTTCAGTGCTGAGGCAGTCAGGACAACTGAGCTACCCACAGATGTCACTCTTTCCCCCCAACACCTTCTGACTTCCTGCCCAGAGCCCAAACACACCCTTACTACATCGTTTCTCAAACACAATCCCAATTCCTCCAAAAGCTTCTGTTAAATCTATCTGAAGAGTTCAAGATGAAATACACACAGCTGTCCTGTTGAAGCAGGTTATGTGCTATCACTGTGGCCTCATCCAGTCACAGAGACTCAGGTGGCAAAGCAGTATATTAGGGGGACAAGAGCTTTTTTCTCTGGAGAAGGATATCCTGCCTCTTCTTTGTCTTCTCAAAGGTTTAGTACCAACCATGCGACAGTACATGGCAGAGGCCTCTGCTGCAGGCAAAAGAAGCAGGTCCCCAGATAAGGCTATTTTCCCCAGATAAGCCAAGGCCCCTCCTGGCTTCCCGGAGCTATCATCAGCATCACCCTCAAACACAGCCTCAACAGACCAGGGCCAGATGTGCTCAGCTCATGGGAGATGGCAGAGATGCAATCAGATGTGCAAAGATTCTCAGCCCCTTCCTGGCTGCCTTTAAAAGCCACTGCTCCTGTGGACACAAGTCATCATATTCCATTTTAACTTGAACAACAGGTAACCTTGTGGATTCTGGGAGGCCAGCCTGCAGAAACTTCCTACGGTGTGTGGATCCCAAAGGCATGAGGCAAGTAAGGCTACTTGGTTTGCATCGATGTCACCCCACTCCCTGCAATGGGATCTGTTGCAGTCCTCTAGCCACTATGGCCACAACATCCCTCCAGCATGCCTGGATCATAACCAAGGAAGTGGCAATGTCAGAAACAGGAGACATCCCTTCCAAACAGCCCATCCCCAAGGCCTCCCAAACACTGGCACTCTGTGTGCCCAGGAAGGCTTCCATCTCTCAAAGTCCATTTCTTCCCTCCCACATCCCTCCCACACTCAAGGGGATCCTTCATCTCATCTGACTCCTGCTTGGTCTCCACCCCCTTTGGATGTCCCATTTTAGCTGGAGAAAGGGATATAAAATGATACCCCTCTAAAGGGAATCAAAATAGAGTGGACACAAAGGAAATAAGATTCACAGTGAGAAAGCAATTTGACATTTGCATGATGCTACATCACTGTGTCTCAGGCTATAAAGTGCATGCAAACCACCTGGGCATGTTGTTAAAATGCAAATTCTGACTCATAGGTCAGAATGAGGCGGGGTCTGAGATTCTGCATTTTTAACAAGCTCCCAGGATGGCTGAGGCTGCTAGTCCATAGAACACACTTTGAGTAGCAAGAGTGTGCCTGCACAATGCCTGGCCACAGAGTAGGCACTCACAGTGATTTGCTACGTTGAATTAAACTGCAGGAAGAGCTGGGTTTGATGGCAGGACTCATTAATAAACAGCAAGTGGTAAGCTGAAGCAGTCAAATAAACCAATGGTTCCCAGTGCTGGCTGCACATCAAAATCACCTAGGGAACCTTTTGAAAATGCCAATGCCTGGAGCCCACCCTCAGAGATTGCAATTTCATTGGTCTGCAGTAGAGTCTGAGTATTTTTTAAAGGTTCCTTAGGGGATCAAGTTAGAGGGCCAACGAATTCAACAAAACGATGTCATTGCCTGCAATGTGCCAAGCATCGTGCCCTGAGTGAGGCATTGGACATACAGAGTTGAGTGGGACCAGGTACTGCCCACAGCAAACTTGAAGACTAATAAGGGAAATAAATCTATGTGTAATTATAATGGAAAAACTACTATTAGGCATAAGTTCTATAAACTGGTTTGGGAATACAGATGAAGAAACAACTGATCCAAGATAGAGGAAATGAGAGGAAAAAGAAGACAGTGACGAAGAGGTAGTGATATATGCACCTTAATGGATGCATAGGAGTTTTCTAGACAGACAAGAGAAGCAGCTGCCCCAAACCTCTGTTCTTCCCCATTATTGGTCATGGGGAGATGATGTTTGGCCAGCTGTCGGGGTCCTAAATTCTAGGCAGCTGCCTACTGCCGCCATGGGTTGATAAGGAAGGTGTATGCACAAAGAACAAGGTTAATCCAATGTGTGTTCTGTTACCAGCTGGTGCTATTTGGAAGACCACATGGGAGTGGCTAGGATGCCCTATCAGTCAGAGACCAGTCAGGAAAACGGAATTCACATCCTATACTTGAGAGAGGAAATTTAATGGGGAAACGGGTGACATCTTGGAGTTGCTAAAAAGCCAAACAGGTAGCCACAAGGCAACACAGAGATAAGCAACAGCAGAAAGACCCCAGGCTGAAGGGATAAAAGGAGGAAGTGGTGCTGTGAAGCCCAGGGTCAGAGCCGTCTGGCAGGAGCCAGGAACAGCAGGGACTGCCCAGCAGAAGCTGCAAATACTAAGAAACACAACCATTGCTAAAGATGCAAAGACCACTACCCAGAGAGTGAGGCAGGGAGCTTGCCCTCTCTGTTCCTGACCACAGACTCAAACAGTGCCTTCCATTGGCCAAACCCAGCCCCCAGCCAGTTGGCAAAGGGTCCTGGGAGATGTAATTTCCAGGGGTCAGGCCTGAAGGGCAGGGAATGGATCTGGGCACTGACAGGTAAATGACAGACTCATTCTGGGCTTCTGGCAAAAGCAGGCTAAACATATCCCTCATCCCCTTCCCTACCTTCAAACTCTATCTTGCCAGCCAATGCAGTACAGACACTGTCCACATAGGATCTGGGGAGGCCACCCGGCAGGTCACATCCAGCTGTAAATACCCTCTTCTATGTGTCCTCATGGTGCTACACAAATAACAAATATTATCAATTTCTCTGTGTGCAATGATGTACAAGTGTTTATGAAGCACTGCCCCAAGAAAAAGCTAAGAAAGAGGGAATGAAGGGAGCCCACACCTAGGAAGAAATGTTTTTCTTGAATAGGGAGGGCCTCTCAAAGGGAGGCAGCCTCAGACCCCTCTAACTGTGCTGGCCTCCTGGAAGCACCAGGAGAGAAGCAATTCGAAGAGCAGCCCGATTCCAAAACAGAGAGCAATGACCTGATCTATCTTCCTCGCGGAAGCCTGAAGATGGAAGAAATTCTTAAAATGAAACCCAAAAAAGCCCTAGCCTCAGGTTTTCAAAGAAATAAAGGAATGCTACAGAATGTCCTGTATCTCAAGCAGTTGTTCCTCTGCAATTCCTCAATTGGTTTCTTGCCTTTGCACCATGATGGTTTGGAACTGAACAAACTGGCCAGAGGGAAAGCTCAGATGCAGGAACAACTCTCCCAGGTGGTGCCTGTGAAGATGATGCTGCTGGGTCTTCCCCAAGGGCAGGAGAGAGCGAACACCTGGAGCAACTTGCCCCTGGTTTTATTTAGAAATTCCTCTAAGTTTACAGAGTCTTTAGAGAAAGCAGAAGCCTTCTCTCATACAGCTCATATCACTGAGTTCTTCTGATTTATTTGTAAATGGATCATGAAAACTCGTCCTAAAAAGCTAACCAAAGAGCATAACTTCTGCGTCAACTTCCATCAGAGAGCGGGCTCCTGGGACAGCTGCCACCTTGGATGGAAGGCAGCTTTGGGAGAGACAAACAGAGCAGTGAGCAGGGAGGGAAACACCCTGCCTGTGACCCAGAGCAGTGAGATGTTCCACTGAGAGCCCAGCACACCATTTTCATTCAAGTGGCATTTATATACTCCACTCATTAAAAAAATTAATGCACTATTGTTTTAATTGAGGGCAAATTTACATAACATAAAATTAGCCATCTTAACATGTATAATTTAGTGGCATTTAATACACTCACAATGTCATGCAAACATCACTTCTATTTAGTGCCAAAGCATTGTCATCACCCCCCAAAAAATATCCTGTATCTATTGAGCAGTCACACTCCCCTTTCTTCCCTTTCCCCAGTCCCTGGCAACTATGGATTTATCAATTCTGGACATTTGATATAAATGGAATCATAAAATATGCACATGCATTTGTATCTGGCTTATTTCACTTAACACATTTTTGAGGTTAGGTTCATCCATGTTGTAGCATGTATCAAAATGTCACTCTTTTATGGCTGAATAATAGGCCGTTATAGAGATAGACCACATGTTTATTCATTCATCAGATGATGGACATTTTGGAGTGTTTCCACCTTTTGGCTATTTTAAATAGTGCCACTACAGCCATTCATGTTTATGTTTTTTGTTGAAATATCTACTTTCAATTATTTTGGGTATACACCCAGAAGAATTGTCCATTTTTAAAGGATTTGAGAGAAGATGTAATATAAAATAGCATAATTAGGAATGTAAGCAAAATAGACTTATTAAAAGGGAACAAAGGAGTATGTGTTAACAGGAGTCCAAGGTGAACTAGTTCTCACAATCAGGCACTGAATGTGGCCACAGGTTTCCTGGCAGCTAAGGTGAAAAGGGAAACAAATCAAGTCACTACAAGTCAGCTGTAGAGATAAACATGTTTTCCCTGACACTAGATCCAGAAAAGAACCTGTAGCATAGATCCTTCTATAAAAGATTGTGTGTGACATTGCAGAGGACATGTTCTTATATTTCTACAAGAGACAGAAATGTTCTTCAAATGAGTGGTTTTGTTTTTTCTTTTCTAATCAACTCTATATGGCTCATGAACACATTTAAACTGTAATTCAATAAACCCAATTTTGTAGAATAAAGCAAATACAGCCCAGATACATTGCTTTCTAAATACCCAATTTATTACATGAATCAAATGTGAAGAATCCAAAGAAATAAAGGTGGAAGCATCCATTTAAAGTCTCTAACAGGCCGGGCACGGTGGCTCACACCTGTAATCCCAGCACTTTGGGAGGCCGAGGTGGGCACATCACGAGGTCAGGAGATCGAGACCATCCTGGCTAACACGGTGAAACCCCGTCTCTATTAAAAATACAAAAAAAATTAGCTGGGCATGGTGGCAGGCGCCTGTAGTCCCAGCTACTTGGGAGGCTGAGGCAGGAGAATGGAGTGAACCTGGGAGGCGGAGCTTGCAGTGAGCCGAGATCGCGCCACTGCACTCCAGCCTGGGTGACAGAGTGAGACTCCATCTCAAAAAATAAAAATAAAATAAAAAGTCTCTAACAGTTCATTTCTTCAGCATGTCTCTGAATTCTTTAACACGTGCCCATAGTGCAGACATTTTATGCTGGTGGTCAAAGTGATGGCCCTTAGCTTACATATGAGGCAAGGTGTGTAAAGGGTAAAGCTGCCATTTAGCTGTGGATGTTCACAAGACACTTCTCTGTTGATGGACCTCGTTCCTACCCAAAAATACAGTAACTGAGACTTGCACTTGGCTGACCTCTGACCCTCCCTTCTCCCAGCTCCTCCTACCTCTCCAACCTGGTAGATACTTCATGGAAGCTGTTTTGGCTGCTGCATCACACACACACACACACACACACACACACACACACACACACACACACACACACACACACATCCCAGGCCCCCATGGCCAGCAGTATGTCCCACTCTGTGGCTGCCATTGGCAGAGCAAAAATCCATCAGACATCCAAAGAAGACCCATGCCTGAAGGGGAAATGTCAGGGCCCCCACACTGAGTGGAGTCCAACTCCATCCTCACCCTATACTGAGTCAGAAACAGCCCCAGGAAAGCTGGTCACTGCACCGATGCCCACGCTGAGACATTGCAGGGCTGTGGGGTCCCATCGCCTGGGCACCTGACGCCAACAGCCCATGCAGAATGGCCCCGTATGTGTGAGGTTTAAGCCATAGTAAAAATGTGCTTCTTTCTATGCCTGACTGAGACTAGCACAAATGTCTTTCTGGTGTGGATTTTCTTGCATGGAACATTTATTGACAGCTGCTCCCTGGAGTCATGGTCTCACTTCCTGTCATCCTTAGGCAGCCGTCTGATGTTGGGGTGAGCCATCATTCCCGTTTCACACAT
This sequence comes from Homo sapiens, assembly GCF_000001405.40. Classification (NCBI taxonomy): domain Eukaryota; kingdom Metazoa; phylum Chordata; class Mammalia; order Primates; family Hominidae; genus Homo; species Homo sapiens. Next base: position 88,213,233 of record NC_000015.10, read on the forward strand.
GAGGAAACAGAGGCCCACCAGGATTGAGTAACTTGCTCAAAGCCCCCCAGCTGTTAGGTTCACAGCTCTTCTCCACTGGAGGAAACTCTACTTTTAAAGGTGTCTGGGTTCTCCCACTTTCTATCCTTGCAGCCTGAATAAAATAAAGGCGGGACAAGGACAATGAAAGAGGAACAGGGGGACAAGCTGCCCACACGTGTCCACTTGAGATGCTGTGAGGGTGTGCCCACAGCCCCTCTCTAGGAACAGTGGAGACTAAGGCCCAGACAGACAGACAGACAGACAGACAAGGCAGCTCGGCCTCACTCTGGGGTACGAGGAGAGCTCTGTGGTTCAGAAGCGGGAGTGTAGATGGACTTCAAATAATAATCACAAACACGCAGTGTTTTCTATGTGCTGGGCACTATTTTACATGCTCTGCCTTCATTAACTTATTACGGCCCTCACACAGTCCTGCGAGGTAAATGCTAATACTATCACCATTTTACAAAGAAGAAACCGAGGCACAGAGGAGTCAAGTCACTTACCTAAGGTCACACAGCTTAAGTAAGATTTGAAACGAGGCGGCCAAGTGCAGTGGCTCACACCTGTAATCCCAGCACTTTGGGAGGATAAGGCGGGTGGATCACCTGAGGTCAGGAGTTCGAGACCAGCCTGACAAACATTGTGAAACCCCGTCTCTACTAAAAATACAAAATTAGCCAGGCGTGGTGGCACATGTCTGTAGTCCCAGCTACTCAGGAGGCTGAGGCAGGATAACTGCTTGAACCTGGGAGGTGGAGGTTGCAGCAAGCCAAGATCATGCCACTGCACTCCAACCTGGGAGACAGAATGAGACTCTGTCTCAAAAAAGAAAAAAAAAACAAAAGAAATGAGGCCGTATGCCAGGATCTACGTGCTTAGCCACTGTAGAGTTTCCCGGGGCTCCCATAACAAAGTATCACAAACTGTGTGGCTTAAAACAAATGAAATTGTCTCACAGTCCTGGAGGCTGGAAGTCAGAAATCAAGGTGTCAGCAGGGCCATGCTCCCTCGAATGGCTGTAGAAGAGAATCCTCTCTTGCCTCTTCCTAGTTTCCAGGGGTTACTATCAATCCTTAACATTCCTTGGCTCATAGCTGCATCACTCCAATCTCTACTCCATCTTCACAAGGCCTTCCTCCCTCTGCGTGTGGCTGGGTCCACATGTCGAATTCTTATAAGAACACCAGTCACTGGGTTTAGGGCCCCTCTTAATGCTATATAACCTCATCTTAAGGAATTATGTCTGCAAAGACCCTATTTCCAACACAGCCACATTCTGAGCTGCAGAGTAGACATGAGCTTTACAAGGACACTACTGAACCTGGAACAGCCACTGGGCTGTACTGCTTCTTGAAGGGGAGGTCACTAGGGCTAGGACCATTTGAGCCAGGAAAAAATAAAGCAGAAAAAAAAAAAAAAACAGAGAGAATAAGGACAAAAAAAATGTGCCCCCAAATGAACACTCTTCCTATTTCCCAAGCAAGATGCAACCTCTCTGGAACGCCTTCCCATACGAGCCCAGCTTTGTCTGAATTTACCATTTTGTCCCATAACCGGCTGGGCACACATCTGCCCCTCCACTAGGAGGTGAGCCCCTGAAGTGCAGGGCTGTCGGGGCTCATCTTCATGCCCCAGTGCCTAGAGCAGTGGCTGGCAGGTGACAGGTGTTCAGCAAAGGGATGGGGAACTCATGACTTTCTGGGCCTTGCCCTGCTCCCCACTCCTCTGCCCGGTTTCCTCCCACATGAGGAAGTTGACAGCCCCAGGAAGATTCAGTGATTTGCTCAAAGCCCCTATAGGCCCATAGCCCTTCTTGGTCAGAGAAAGGTATCTGGGTTCCCTCACCTCCTACCCTATGTGTCTGGCACACCATAAGCACTGTGGGTTTGCCGTCTAGCATTTAGGCCCAGGAAGTAACTCCAAAATTTGGCAATGGCAATTCATCAGAGGAAAAACATCCCGGTTTGTTCACGGCTTCCTTGACAAATCCCAGTTCAAACGGAGCATCACGCTTGGGGGTTGGAGAAGGAAAGCAGCTGTCACCCGGGATGGACCTAAGCAGCATGCCCAGCTCCAGGGCAAACACGGCCCCCCACTGCCCCACCTGGCCCCAATAACTGTCTCCCTCGTGCAGATATTCACTCTGCGTGTAGGCATTCATTCCAGCGTTACATCTCCGTTGACGCAGAGCTCCCCGTGGCTCCCCTGAAACGTTCCGTGCTAGACACTGTGTCCTGCGATGCCAGGAGGGAGCCACTGAGAGAGAAATCAAAAGCATCAACAGGCAGCTCAGGGGAGCCAGGCTGGGGCTGGGAGGAAAGCTGGGGGAAGAGGCCCAAAGAATTCTAGAATGAGAGATCCAGAAATAGAGGGTCTAATGCTAGCAACACAATTGCATAACAAAGAGGGGCAAACTGCAAATTAAATGCAAAATTGGTCACCTCTGGTGAGAGAATTGCAAGTCCATTCTCTTGAGGGAGAGAATTGACACTGGGCAAAGCAGTACCAGGGTAACATCTATATATACTTTTAAAATATGGAACCACAGGAAGTTTCATATGCAAAGAATATGAAATTGAAAAATGCAAACATGAATGCAAAGATTTATAACTCTCTGTGCTGTTCTTTCCCTGGATCTAGGCTCCCCAGGTTCTCCCTGGAAAAAAACAATTCTGAAATTTGAACCCAGGCAGCTTGATTTGAGAGGGTCTCTGCTTTTAAACTCTATCCTATGCTGTCCCATTATAATTGGAGAAAGCAATTCTCACATTCATTAGGTTGTCATAAGACTTGAACAAAAAGATGTTCACAAAGCACCCAGTACAGTGTCTGGCCCAAGGTCATGGCTAGGGGATCTTAGTGCCCCCACTCAATAGTGCTCCCATTTAAGCCAGGATTAAATAAGGGGTGAGAGCGAGTTGTTATGTTGTAGCTCACTGGGGCAGGGAGGACAGGAGCAGTTGATCACTGACCTCAGAGGGACAGCCACTAGGATATCAAGTTTGGTCTGCATTAGGAAGGACTGTCTCCCGAAATCAGATGGAATATCTTGCCCCGGAGGCTCAGCATCCTGGCCATCCTGGGTACTGAAAAACTACACAGCAGCCCTAGGTACTTCTCCTGGCTCAGAAAGAGCTCACCCCTGTGGGCCTGGAGCTTGAGAAGGAGGGAAACTTAGCTACAGAATAAAATGTACTCAAATAGCTCTCCCTGGGGCTGACCAGCCCAGCCACGTGCTGGTCATGGCAGGGAGGCGATTCTGCACGACCCCAAATTAGCAGTGAGACCATCCCTTTTGGCAAAGGGCACACAGGAATGGCCAGTGGGAGAGCTGTCTCTGGATCCAAGTGGAGCAGCTGGAACTTCCTCCTGCCACCCAGCCATCCTTCCTAGAACAGGCCTCCATGAGGCACATCCCCTGTGGTGGGTCAAGATGGTGATGGTGACTGCCTGGGGAATGGTTATCACTCCTCTTAGGGGAGCCCAGCATCATCACAAATGCATGTCCTCCTCCCATGGCAAGAGCTCCAGAACTTATTATCCACCCTTCTCTTGAGGAACTGATCTCACCCTTCCTTGCTACAGTTGACTGTGGAATAGCCTCAGGCCCTACTTGTCTTAATCTGCAAGTCCCATTAGGATAAGAACTATATTTGGTGGTGACCCCAAAGTACCAGGGACTGAACTGAACTCAGTGGTTTGAAGTTTGACATTAACAGAGCTTCAAAAAAATGACTCTTATGGCCGATAAGCACATGAAGACATACTTGACATCACTAATCATTACGGAAATGCACATCAAAACCATGAGATGCCACCTCATAACCACTAGGGTGGACACTAAAAAAAACAAAAAATAACAAGAGTTGGTGAGGATGTGGAGACATTAGGCTGCTGGTGGTAATGTAAAATGGTACAACCACTAAGGAAAACAGTGTGGTAGTTCCCCAGTTAAACAAAGAATTGCCATGTAGTCCAACAACTCTACTTCTGGGTAAATGCCCAAAAAGATTAAAGGTCTCAAAGAGATAACTAACGGTATACCCGTGTTCTCAGCAGCCCTGTTCACAATAATCAAAGGGTTAAAGTAACCCGTGTATCCATCGCAGATGAATGGATAACAAAATGTGGTAAATACACACCATGGACTACTATCCAGCCTTAGAAAGGAAGAAAATTCTGACAAACTCTACAGTAGAGATGAACCTTGAGGACATTATGCTAAGTGAAACAAGCCAGTCACAAAAATACAAACGCTGTCCGATTCCACTTACATGAGGTACCTAGAACAGCCAGATTTCTAGAGACAGAAAGTGGTGGTTGCCAGGGGAGGGGGGAATGGGGAAATGAGGAAGAGTTGTTGTTTAATCGCATAGAGTTTCAGTTTTGCAAGATGAAAAGAGTTTGGGAGACCAGTTACACAGCAATGTGGATGTGCTTAACGTTGCTGAGCTGTACACTTAAAAATGGTTAGAATGGTAAATTTTATTATGTGTTTTGTAGCACAATTTTTTTTTTTTGAGGCGGAGTCTCACTCTGTCGCCCAGGCTGGAATGCAATGACACTATCTTGGCTCACTGCAAGCTCCGCCTCCCGGGTTCCCGCCATTCTCCTGCCTCAGCCTCCCGAGTAGCTGGGACTACAGGCGCCCGCCACCGCGTCCGGTTAATTTTTTTTGTATTTTTAATAGAGACGGGGTTTCACCGTTTTAGCACAATTTTTTAAGGCTCTTGTGCCCATTCTCCAGGCCGCCTCTGGGGGTCGCTGTCTTGGACGAACACCTGGACAACAGCAATCTCAACCCTCCCTAAAGACCCACTGTGGGGGCCCAGAACATCTCTGTTCCCCCGAGTTGAATGCAGGTGTGCTTCAAGAAACCATTTCTAGTCTAGCCTGACTACGTCCCTGGGCAAGTCACAGATTCTCTCGTCTGTGAAATGGGAGCATCTGCCTTTGCTATAAACAAGACCACTATGTTGAGGCCTCTGATGGACATTTCTATGCAGCCTCCATAGAAAACCTCCTAAAGAGAAATAAACAAGACTTCTCCATGCAGCTACGGTTGCTGGTGAAGACCCAGGCTATGGGGCCAGGCAGCCTGGGATGTCAACCTTGCCTCTACCACTTATCAGCTCTGTGATCCAGCACAGCTTACTGTGACCCAGCACAGCTTACTGGATCTCTCTGAGCTTACATTTCCTCCTCTGTAAAATGGGATAATAATGCTCATCAACTAGCCCTGTCCTGGGGATTCAAGACAATGCTTGCTAAGGGCTGGGGCACAGAAGGCACTCAATGTTCAATCATAGGACGTGATGATTCTGAGTTTTAACCACCATGCTGTCAGCTGGAGCCCTGTGCACCACTCTTGGGCTCACAGTCTGACTGCAGGGCCTGGGGACCTTGGGAAGCATTATCCCTAGGCACAAGTGACTCTGTTGCTTCTGTGCCCTGCACCATTTCCTGAGCTGCCCGAAAGCTCAATGATGTCATCACCAGGATCAGCACCTGCATCTGCTCCGGTCACAGGAGGCCCTGATGCCGCATTAACCCCTGTGAGAGGTGGAGCTTTAGAGTGCTCAGGAATCCCTTGCCCTAAGAGTTCTCTATTCTCATCCAAATCCACCTGTTTGTAAACCCAGCCAGTATTCCCTTTAAGGCCTTCCTCCATTCCAGTGCCAAGGACCGTCTGTACTGGAGGGGGCATGGCATCACCCACGTGGTCTCTCACAACACAGCCTGGATGACAGATGCCATAGCAACAGCCCTAGCAACAATGACAGGAGACGACCTCTTGGCCACAGACTGGTGGGAAATATGTAAACAACAATCTGCACGCATGAAGGAAAGGCTGTGGAAGGCCTGAGGCAGACCTACATGTGCAGGATGGCACCCGCCTGGGCAGAGAGAGAAGCCCATTAGCAGAGTCCAACTTCCCCCTTCAATATCAAAGCAAAATAATCAATGAAAAAAGACAGGAGGGGCCTAAAATCCTTTTGACCTGCAGCAAATTAAGTTTAATCCTCTCCAGCCAGCTGTGTGGCTGTTTGGGTACAACTGGGCTGTCTACTAGGAAACTGACAGCCCCCTGAAACCCACAGACGGGGGCCAAGAGGAGAAGTCCCAGCCAGCAGCTGGAATGCTGCAACTGATGAGGCATCCCAGAGTCCCTCACTGTGCAGGGCTGGACCCTTGGGGCAGAAGGCTGGCCTCCTGGCCTCAATGCCTATTGGCAATGGAACCAAGCAAAACCTTAGGAGACAGAACCAATCCTGTTTCCCTCACACTGAGCTAAATTCTGGAAGAAACAGTCATTCTCCCTGGATGAAGTCGACTAAACCCAAACTTCTACTAGCCCAGCTGTGAACCAGCACTTCCATTTCCAAAACAGTACATTCTGGTGGGAACTGAAGCTCCTGAAGTGGGTGACTTGTCCAGGCTTCCAGGGGTGGTGGAGGTCAAAATCAAGACTGGAAGAATCTTGATGGTGATGCCTAACACGCACTGAGCACTTCTGAGTGCCAGGCCCTGCACTGAGTGCATTACATCATCTCTCAGCCCATGCTCTCTGCACCCCTCTGAGATGGGCAGCATTATCCCCACTGCACACATGGTGAAGCAAAGGTCTGCAAAATGGCTTGCCCAAGGTCACACAGCTCTCACTGAAGAACTTGCATCCAAACCCAGAAATGCCCGCACCCCCTCCTCTCTTGCTTCTGCTAGCCCAGCCAAAGATGCAGCTATCGACTGCCAGGAGAGAGAGCTTCAAATGCCCAGAGAAAATCCCCAAGTAAATCAGACTACAATTTAATAAGCTTGGGTTTAAAAGAAGGCATAATCAGCAGACTAAAATATAATAAGATAAAATAAAATAAATGAAATAAAGAAATGAAAAAGAATGCCAGTAGCAGGGATGACAATGACCACCATGGCTTTGAGCCACATGTAGGAACCCTGAAAAAGCTCCCCCAAGCAAATCAACCGCTCATGCATTTCTTGGGGTTGTGGAGTCCCATGGCAGGGGTCCTACTGTAGGCACGGAGAGGGGTGATGGCCCACAGGAAAATCCTAGCCTCTCCTACTCAGAAGAATGACCGAAACCTCAAAGGCCACCAAGACAGAGACCTGTGGGTCAGCCCCCAATGGGGCCTGCTGGAGAGAAAACGCCATGGGCTTGCAGGTACAGATGGGAGTTCAAATCTAGGCTCTGCCACTCAGTAGCTGTGTGACGCCAGCAAGTCACTTAAATTTGGAAGCCTCGGATCTGAAAAATAGTGAGAGCAAGGTCCACTGTGTGAGTTGGTGAGAATGAAATGGGTCAGAGATGAGAAGAGGCCCAGCCCTGGAAGGCTCTTGGGAAATGTTGGCAAGAGGAAGGCCCCTTTCCAGGCAGTCACAGGAGCCCACACAGCTTTCAAGCCAGCCATTTCCTGCACATGGCCACAAACACCTGCAGCCAGCTTCTTCCCAGCGAGAGCGGGAACGTCCAAAAGATCTGTCCCTCAAGCCAGAGGAATGCTGGCCACAGGACTCCCCATTCCCACCCCACAGTCAAGCCACTTGAAATAGGACACATCCATAGGAAGTGATCATGGCAGAAAGGTCCCAAGAGATCAACCCGTCCAGAGATCTAAACCCTGGATGCCTCTGAACCTCCAGGGGATACGTCTCAAAAATGCTGATTCTTGGGCTTAACCCCAGAGTACAGGCTCAGAATTCCTGGAATGGGGCTCAGTTCTCTGCATTTTTAACAAACTCTCCTGGGGATTCTGAAACACAGCCAGGGTTGGGAATCTAGTCCAATGCTTTCATTTTAGAAAGAAAGAAACTCTATTGCTGGTGGACTTCATGCGGATTAATTTCAATTACTCTTTTCCTGGTTATAAAGTAATACAGACGTATTGTGGAAAGTCTGGAAAAACTGAAAACATATAAAGAAAAGTAAAGTCACTGGCAATTACGGCTCCCAGAGGTAACCATCTTCAGCCTGAAAGCATTTCCTCCCGTCTTCATTCTTAGAGGATGAGATGATGATGGATGGACAACTTGAATCCTAGCTTTTCTTCACTTAATATTTCACCTTAGGTATTTGCTGATGTCATTACAAATTCATAAGAAAAAAACATCAATAAAGATGAGAAAAATAACAGCAATTTTAACCATGTTACCAAAGTAAATAGCTAGTGAATACCAAGGGCAGAGCCACATAACCTGATCCTGATGCAATGCTTACTTTTTCAACAAGGAGTTTACCGTCAGGTGCGGTGGCTCACGCCTGTAATCCCAACACCTGGGAGGCTGAGGCAGGTGGATCCCTTGAGCCCAGGAGTTTGAGACCAGCCTGGGCAACATGGTGGAACCTCATCTCTATTTAAAAAAATAAAATGTTGAAAATTAAATAATAAAAATGAAATAAAATAAAACAAAGAATTTGCCACCCCTTAACAGAGAGTGCAGGCCAGGGAAAAGAGCACTGAGGCCAGTCCCGTAGTGACGGGTGAATGGGGAGGTGGGAGGGGGGCTTGTTCAATGGCTCACAAGGGCCTGACTAGATTACAACAAACATAAACTAATGACACAGCTGTTGAGACCGATTAGGCTGCACAATAGAAAAATTACAGGATTGTTTGGTCCCAACAATATAAGATTAATTTATCAATACAGCTTACGCGGCACTGCAGAGATAACTGCCAGAACCAGGGCTTCTTGCACACCTTACATGCAACTGGAATCTCTTGGCCACGTACCTGTCATACCTCAAAGCATACCTCAAAGCATGAGCTAGAAAGGCCTGTCATACCTCAAAGCATGAGCTAGAAAGCAGACTTTGCAGCCCATGTTGGGTGAGGCAGTACAGAGGGACTGTTTGCCAACTAACTGGAATGCACGTGGGTCAGAACTCAGAGATTCTCTGTGACACGGGCATAGGAACAGATCCCAGTGCCCAGCTGTAACACATACATGCAACTATATATGACTCTTATGCCAGCTTAGTTCTGAATCTGACACATCACCCACACTAAAACCTCACAACAAGGCTATGCAGCAGGTACTGTTATTATTCCCATTTTACAGAACAGGAAACTGAGACAGGTTCAATGGCTTAGCCAAGGTCACACGGCTGGCAAGAAAAGCAGCTCTAGTGTTCAAATTCAGGCAGGATCCACAGTTTACGTTCCTAACCCTGAAGCTGCCTTTCAATAATACAACAATCATATTTTTTAAAGATATATCATCCCTCATTTTAATCATCCATTTCAGTTTATGGAGCACATTTCTAGAACATTTCACACAGAACGCAGAACATTAATCTTGTGAAACAGCCTGTGATTTCCATTCATAGGTGGGGAAACTGAGGCACATAGAGCTCAAAGACTTGCCCAAGAAGTTTAGGTTGCCCAGTTGTGAGGTGAAAGTAGACAAAACTGCCACTTTCCTGGCACTTTGAGGTGATTGACTGCTTCCTGGAGGTCATGGCCATAATCTGTGACCAGAGTGCCCACTTCTGAAGTGTGGGGTGCCAGGCACTTGGAATTCTCACAATCACCCTAGGAGGCAAGTACCATTATTAACAGCAGATTAAGAAACCGAGGCCCAGGGAGGCTCAATGACTCACTGAACATCCCGCAGTCAGGCAGCGGCGAAGTGAGACCAAGGGGTCCCTGAGGAACCCGCAGGATTCTTTTGGGGTTCTGGACTGCCTCACACTGGGCTGAGAGCCCTCCAAGCTCAAACCAAGAAGTGGGGAGAGGAGGGAGAGGAAGGAGATGGGGCGATGGGGCTGGCAGGAGGGTGGGCGGCAGGGGAGAAAAGGTGCTTGCCTCCCTGCTCCCTCCAGCCAGAGCTGCGGGCTCGGGAGGCGGGTGGGATTGGGCAGAAGGCAGATGTCAGCCACTCCAGCTGGAACACCCCCAGCACACGGCCCCCAGGGCGGACAGTGACTGCTTCCAAATCAGCCGAGTGGAATGTCCTTGACCAGCCGGCCAGGGCAAAGCATCACACCAGGTCACCCGGGAGGACGCAGTGGCCTGTGTCACCAGGCGTGAGTGCTGGAGGAGGGGGCTGGCCGCTGGTCACAGCTGTGCCCCCTGCTGCCTCATTGCTCCCTTCCTCCCCAGAGCCCCTCTCTGCCCACACGCTCAGAGGCAGAAGGAGCAGCTGGCAGGCGAAGACTGCACCAGGGACAAGAAGGCAAAGGCCGTGGGCAACAAGGGTGGGCTTGTGGGGAGTTTTGCAAGGGCCAGAGACTGCGGAGCAGGGCCTGGGTATGCCCAGGGGCCAGAAGCAGGCCTGGGGCAGCCCTAGGTAAGGAGGCAGCATTCACATGTCAGAGAGCCCTGTCCAATGCAACGCCACCACTTCATCGCTCCATGGTCTTGGACAAAGTACTCAACCTTTTGGGGTCTTCCTCTGTGTTTCCTTATATATGTAATGGGCATAATAATACCGTCTACCTCCTTGGGCCACAGGAGGATTCAGTGGGCTACTGCACATTAAAAACCCTTCGCACAGTGCTGGCTGGCCAGGATTGTTATTCACAAGGTAGTAGCAGAAGACTTAGAAAGTTCGGCCCAGGGTAGAGGCTAGAAACCGAGGCAGTGCTCCAAAGGCAGAAGAACAAAGTGACAAGGGACAACCAGGCATGGGAGGTGTTATTAGGAGCAAGATGAGGGCAGTGAGATGGCATTCATTCTGTTGACCAGAGGGAGTTGCAGAGTTAACAGGACACAGAGTTGGCCTCCAGGCAACACTCAAGGTAGCACCCACATAGCTAGGAAGGCCCGGGGCCGGAGACCTATTGTCTGATCTGGTGTGATCTCAGATTCTGCATCTCAGAGCTGGTGCAGATAATGTAAGACAAGAGGCCTGGGCCTCTCGTCCTAAGGATGATACAGTGTCAGAAGGCCCCTTTGTGAGCATGGGGCTGAGAAAGATGAGGCCCCAAGTTCAGATCAGGATGCTCCCTGCAAGGTGAGGGGCCAGCCCTGCACCAGGCACCAGAACTCAGAACCTAGATCTGAAAGGCAGAGACTAGGACAGGCTGAACAGTTGGCCTGCAGAGTCTGAGGCCTGGAGAGCAAGTCGTGAGAACGCTATTTCCCAGCATGAGAAGAACATGCCCAGCAGGTGCAGACAAGTCCCACACAGTCTGCATTCCGGGGCCTCAACAAGCTGGGTCTAAATACTCTCTCCTTCACCTCCCAGCTGAGGGGACCTTGGGTACATTATGAACCGCTAAGCCTCAGTTTCCTCTTCTGTCCAATGAAGCTAATGACAGTATTAATTTGAATTTCAGATAAGCATTGTTATTCCTGAGATCATCTCTATAAAGTCCATAGCAGGGCCTGGAACCTATTAAGACTTCAGTCATCAGGTTCTATCACGACTGTCATTATTCTCACCCATGCTGTTATCTGGCCTGTGACACTGCTTCTACAGCAGAAACGCACTGCCCAGGTACCTACCAGGAGTGCTGCGACTCTGGGAAGGTAGGGTTGATAAGGCACAGCCTGCTGCTGACCTTGAGGTGTCCCTGTCTTGTTAGGGAGGCAGCTACATAAATTATCCTGGCACATGGAGGCAGGCAGAGTGGCAGAGGTGTGCACAAGGCCCTCACTCTTGGCACTGGAGCTGGAGAATCAAACCAACCCCTGGGGAGCAGGGTGTCACTAGTGCAGGACTGCAGTCCCTTGCCTTGCAAAGTGGGCTATTTTGATCCTGTTTGCCTTTTTATTTTCCTATAATGATCTCCACTTTATTTTCCCTTAGTAGTTAGTGAAGTTCTCTTCTTTTAAATGCCAGCCACTACCAAGAGGTTGCGGGAAAGATGATGTTTCTCACAGCGTGGTGGGTAGCGGAGTGTACCCCTGGGCCAGAGGGTGATGGCAGGAATAATGAAAGGGGAAGAAGCCCAAGATGAAACTAAAAGGGACGTGTCAAGGCACCCCAGTGGATCTCTACCCCTGTGCTGCTGGGTTTGCTTTCCAATGCAGGTCGGGGTTTTGCTTGAGTGAGAGAAGACATTTCTGCACAAATACTGGGCTTAAGCAGGTATGGGTTCTCTGCTGGGTGGAGGTGAGCAGGGGCTATACCCTCTGTACTACCCTGATCCTAAAAGAGACCAGCCAGTCAGAGCTGCAGAAGCCACCCATCCCACCTCCTTTCTGCAAACCCCAAAAACCCTCTGTTTTCTGTAGGAGGGACCCCTGGATGCTGTTCAGAGTGGAGAAGGCTCCCAAAGCAAGCTGCAGATGAATGAAGTGGGAGGATGAAGAGTCCAGGAGATGAAGAAGAGAGACAAGATGGGGGACAGGGCAGGGCTGCAGGGCGTGGGAAGCTTCTCTCTTGATATCTCTGTTTTAAGTCATCCACAGTTCCGATTCACAAAGCAGGGTCACAATTATCAGTACAAGCCAGGCACAGCCCACTTCCCCTCTTCTGACAGTGCTGATGTTTCCCAACCAGATCCATGCAGACCAGATCCAAAACCCTCTCCAGAAACTCAGGGAGCCGACAGCCCCGTACACCACACCTCACGGCAGGCAGGAGGAGGGATGGGAGGAGATTGAAGGAAGGGCCAGAACAACAAGGCACAGATCCCTTCCTGGGGGTCCGATAGGCTGCAGTCAGCAGTCACCCGCTACCTAGACATGCACAGCCTGCTGCTGCCTCTGGCCCTGATCTGCTCAGACCCCAGACCCTGGAGAGATGGCCCTTCTAAAGGGCCGAGGTGACAAGACAAGGGCGATCCCAGGAAGCAGTCTGGAAGTCGAGAGAACACTGGATGTGAAGTCAAAGGCATGGTAGGAGTCTTCACTCTGTGATGTCCCCACTGTGCAACACCAGGCAAGTCCTCTTCCTTTCAGGCCTCAGTTTCCTCATCTGTAGAATGCAGGGAGTGAGCCAGACCGTCTCTAAGTCCTTAGCTCTGGGACCAAGAGTCCTAAGCCCAGGGCAGCACCTGCCGGTTGCCCCCTGCAGACCCCTTCCATGGGTTCCTCTCCCTTCATCCCTGCCCTCCAATGCCCTCAGCACATGCTCTCTCCTCCACCCCAGAGGTTGCAGCCACCAGAGCATCCCTCAGGGTAGATCCCAGGAAGTGCCGACTGGATGGTGTGAGTGGATAAGAAACAGGCCACGAGCAGTCCACAAGGTGGCCCTGAGATGCCGGGGAAGGCCAGGCACTGAAGGGCAGTGAGATGACCCACAATGGGGGTGGGTCTCCAGTTCCAACACTCACTTCCTAGAGAACAGTCTGGCTTCTGAAATTTCAGACACAAATTATTCCAGAGGCCAGGGAAGTCCAGCCTCAAAAGTCCCTCCTCCTTGTCCTCAGGCCCCCACTGCCCTCCATCCTGACATACCAGGGGGAGCACTGAGCCATCTCTGGGCCGCACGGCCCCTATGGCTGATGCAAATCTCCATCAAACCCCCACCCCTGCCCCTGGGCCCACACTCACATGGTCTTGTGTCCCGTTCCATTATTAATAAAAGTAACAACAATAATCACACTCAACTTGTAGAGAGCCCTTAGCATTGTACCAGGCCAAGTGTTTTGCAGAAATTATCTTACTTAATCCTCTCAGTCACCCAGTGAAGGAGGGGTGATAGCCCCATTTTACAGAGCAGCAAACTGAGGCTCAGAGAGGTTAAGTATCACTGAGAAGATTTAGAACATCTGACCTGAGCTCTCATCTTCTTTCCACTTTATGTATGCATCTGCACATTCACCTTTTCCACTTTCCCTCCTTTTACAGAGATAGAGGATGCTCTTCTTTTATTTATCCAAAACCCAGCATAAAGTGAGGCTCTGTGGACAGAGATGAACGATGGTGCCCCAGCCTTCCAGGAAATCTCAGCTTCAGTTTGCACCTCTTATTCTCTCTCTCCCAAATCCTCCATGCCCTGCATCCTCCCCGTCGGGTCTCTCCTGCTCCTTCAGGCTCTCCCATCCACTGGCTCTTCCTTTGTGCCCACATTTCCCTTAAAAAGCTGCATTTCCCACCAACCTATCACCAGCTTTCCCTTGGTGTTAGGAGCTGACTGCTGTCCACTCCTCACCCCCAACATAAAATTCATTTGTTGAAGTCCTAGCCCCTACCTAGAGCCTCGGTGTGTGACTGTATTTGGAGATAGAACCTTTAAAGAGGTAATTAAGATACAATGAGGTCATTAGGATGGGCCTTAATCCAATGTGACTGGGTCCTTATAAGAGGAAATGTGGGCAGGTGAAAAGAGAGACACCGGGGACATGTGCACACAGAAGGATGACCAGGTGAAGGGGCAGCAAGAAGGCCGCCATCTGCAAGCCAAGGAGAGAGGCCCTAGAGGAACCCAGTCCTGCTGGCTCCTTGATGTTGGACTTCCAGCCTCTAGAACGGTGAGGAATCCACTTCTTCTGTTTAAGACACCCAGTCTGTGGGACTTCGTTATGGCAGCAGCAGCAGATTAACACACCTGGTAACCAAACCCTCAGGGGAACACTCACTGCCCGTTCCTCCCTCCCCCTTTACCCACCTCAGTTCTGGGCCACTGAGGTCGCTGACCACTACCCTCCCCCTAGAAGCTGCATGCCCCTCGCAGCAGTACCAAGCATTCCCCTTGCTAGCTCACTCCCGTGGGTCCTTTCTCCTTACTCCTGTATCCAGATGGAAACAGGGTTCTCACCTTGGCCCTCCTCCCTTCTTCATGTTCACTGGCATCCTTGGCTTCAGCCCTCACCTCTAGACACATAATTCACTAACCTGCAGGCCTGGTTTTTATGCCCAAGCCAGCCCAGAAACTCCAACTGCTGGCAGACATCTGCCTCTGGATTTCCAGGCCAAACCTAAACCCAATGTGTGAAACCAGAATCATGCTTTTCCTTCTCATATCCACTCCCTGCTGATCTTCCTCTATCTCTGGGCACGTCACTCCCCTCTCTCCTGGGCTCCCCACTGGAAATCCCAGCACTGAGAATCCATGCATGCCCCCTCAGCTCAAATCCTGCCACTCTGACCTCCATGCCATTTCTCTCTCCCACCCCCTCTTCCTATATCTGATTTTCATCCCTCCATCTGGAGAGATTCCACACCTCCCGCTGGATCTCCCCATCCTGGCTGTCTGCTACTTCCAATCCATGGCTGGCTGTTATGGCTCAATCTTCCTGAAACATGAGTCTCATCCTATCAGTCCCCTTGCCCCCATACTACCCTGTAGTGCATAAAGGATCTGTCTACACCTGCACTCAGAGCCTCTGGGAGCTGTGGTAATTGCTGCCCCTTCCAACTCCCTTCCTCTTGGTCAGTTGTGACCCACCACTCAGATCCCACCACAGCCTTCCTGATTCCCCTGGGCAGAAACAGACCCTCCTCCAGGAAAACCCACAGCACATGACCCCAGTACTCTTCACCTCTTCCCTTGTATTATAGTTGTCTATTGGGGTCATCACTGTGATCCTCAAAATAACTTCCACAAAGCCTCACACGCAGTAACAGAGGGGAACTGGAGGTCTGCAAGCCAACAAGCTCTCTAGATATGGCAGCACCCCCAGAAGCCCCTCCAGCTTCTGCCCCCTTCACCTCACCTTGCCATAGAGATTGAAAGCCACATGTTCATCTGCTCAGCCTCCCTGGCAACAAGGGATGGCCAGGTTTGAAGCCTGAGCCATATGCAGAAGTCTAAGGGTGGGAGTGTTGTGGGGGGACCTCTGGGGAGCTCCCTCCTTTGCTGGTGTGCTCACTCCTTACCCCTCCCTGACCCTATCTGCCCCTCACCAGGACATATTGGCTGCAGCCACCATGCAACCATGAGAGAAAGGCTAAGAGAATGGCAGAGACTCCACCCTTGACATAGCTGAGTGCTGGACCAACACCAGCCAATCTCCCATTGTCTAATTTTCATCAGAAAAATAAACCCCTATATGTTTAAGCCACCAAGCCAGTTTTCAGTTACTTGCAGCCAAACGCAAGCCTGTCTGATTACATACATAATGGTATTCAACTCTAACAACCACCCTGGGGGATGAGGTTCCAGGAGGAACTAAAGCTTGAAGAGGTTACATGACTTATCCAACATCCTAGAGCCCATGAGCAGGAGAACTAGGATCAAATCTGCCTGATCTTTACACTCAGGATCTTTCCAATCTGCTTCTCCATGTTACATCCCAAAGCTTGTTGAGTGACTCAATGACTGGAAAGACCATCCACTTTACTAAATCTTCCATATGAACCTTCAAAGATGTGAGGAGGGACTACATCCTCCTCAAGATGGATGCCTTCGTCACTCCCATCCAAAAGAAGATACCCTGGTCTGCAACTAACACAGTCTGTCACCAGAAGGGATCCTGAGAAGAGCCTGCCAGTTAACTCTTGTCAGAGTTAGATCTGGATGCAACAGGCAATGTCCCCAGGGGTACCAGCATCCCTGAGGTCCTGCCCTGGTCACTCTCTGCACACAGGTGGGTGCAGCCTCCCTCACCTGCTCATGGGCACTTGCTCACTCCCACCTTCCATCCACATGAGATAAAGCAATCAATGGTACAAATATTTTATCTACTTCCCCACATGGTTGTCTTATACAAGATGAATGGATCAGTGTAGCCCAGGGAACATGGAGCAGAATTTCTCACTGGACTGACATCAGGAACATTTGTTCCGGCTTGGAAAATCTAACCAAGTCACAATGCGGCCATTGTACAGAACTGGGTAGCACAGGGTGGTCCCACCACCTCCAGATGTAGGTTGGACAAAGAGTCCAGAGAGACCATAGACTGTCATCTGTAACTTGTAGGGGTGTGAGCGTGTGCTCTGGACTCCAATCTAGTTAGTGTTGCTAGCTGGATGACCTTGGCCATGTGACCTCAGTTCCATTGTCTCAGTTTCTTCATCTAAAAAGTGGGAATCATAACACCTACCTTGTTCAGCTGTGATTAAATTAAATTAAAGTCACTGAATGAAAAGTGCTCAGCACATAGCACCCAATTTGGGTGACGCTCTTCTTCCTATTGTTGTCAGTCATCATCATCACCATTATAAGTACTTCATCCACCAGGATAAGAGGATGCCTGAATTTTCTAGGATGGCTCAAAGTTCATATATGGAAACCTGTTGTTCCCACAAGTATCCTCACCTCTGCAGAGCACATGTTCTCATTTTGGATTCAGAGATCATGATCGCGGAAAGCTGACTATTGCAAGAAGGGCCCTGTTTGCCCCCTAACAGGCAGGTAGATCTTGGAAAAGTCATTGCCTTCTCTGTAAAATGGAACAAAAAAATCTGGCCAGCTTTCCTCAAAGAAGAGTAAAAAGTTATTTTGAAAAGCCATCAATTTTAATTTTAATCATTTTAATTTTTCTCATTATTATTAATAATCATGTACCAACCAATCTTCTTGCCTTCTCCTATTAGCTTGCAGTATACCTGTTCTGGGATACAGAGGCCCGATTCTACCTACAGACCTGGTGAGAAGAGTGGGGATGGGGAGAGGAAACATAAAAGACAAAACCACCCTGTAAATAAAGACAAAGGTAAAATGTCTTTTAAGCCAATATTAACAAAGCTCAGACAAAACCACCCTGTAAATAAAGACAAAGGTAAAATGTCTTTTAAGCCAATATTAATAAAGCTCTCACAAGAGAAAGCCCATTTCCTGAAGACATGCCAGTTGGTTGACGCCCATGGAGAAAACTGGCTGGTAGCCATGGCAGAATGGGCTCTCAGAACATGGCCAAGTCTTGACCCCCCTTCTTTAACAAGCTATTCTTGCTGGTTTCTTGTGTTGATAAACTTAACCAACATGGGTCTGCTGATTAGAGGGAGGATGTCTTGCTCCAGACCATTTCTAACCTGCATGCTATTCATCTCTCATAACCACCATCAACTCAACGTGTTCCAAACAGATGTCACAGACCTCTCCCCCTAACCATTTCCTGCTAAAGGCAGCATTGTTCCCCTTCTCACCCAAGTTCTGGGCATTTTATTCCACCTTAACACCTCCAACTCTCACACTCAACACATGAAAATCAGCATTGTTTAACATTTTTGTATAGGCTTTGAAATATATTTCCTCTCCGCTCCCCTTGCCCCCCACCCACATCACCCATCCAGAGCTATTGTAGTTGCCTCCTGTCTTCTTTCTCCACTATTTGCTTCTCCTCTTCCTCAATCTGTGTCACTTTCAGATTCTCTTTCTTGAAACGCAGATTAAAAATAATTGCCCAAGTATATGTAAATACACACACACACACACACACACAAATGCAATGGTCTTCTTTAGTCTACACACTGAGTCTATGCAAATTTAGCTTTATGCACCCAGGAAAAATGAGAAGAGAAATAACCAGGTTTCAAAGGCTGGTGTTTCTGCCTCGATTTCACTCAATGCGAGCATCCATCAACACCAGTGTAAGAGAGGTGCTGAACCCGCTGTACCCTAGCTGATCTCACTCCTGTGTTCTTCATAGTGAACACACTTGTGTCCACTCATGAGCGGTTTAAAGAGTTTTCAGAGATCACTTTTTGCCTTGTGACTCTAGTATCCACCTTACTATAGAATCAACCTACTGTAAGATTGAAAGGAAATCCATCAGAGTAGGGGGGATTTTTTCCTGGTTGCTGGAACTGAGTGATTTCTTATTCTATCTCCTACTTTTCACTATTTCAATTTTCCATTAACAAAGATACTTAAATTTTTTTTGAGCCATTTGAACTTTCTTTAAGATTGTCTTCCTAGATTTTCAGTGACTCCAGTCACTAACCGGATAAGGTACAGATGCCTCAGCCCAACATTCAAGACCCTCCCCGAGTGAATCCCACAGCTCATCTGTGGCCGCTCATGGCCCCTCCATGCTCCCTACCTCCAGGTGATGGGGGATCTTGCACTTCACCCACCCCACTGGGCACTCTGGCTGTGTGCTGCACCTTCCGCCTGAAATGTCCTGCCTCACCTCCCTCTCTATCCAGGTCCTACCTGTACAGCCAGGGACCCCCCTATATAGGCACCATCCTCAAAGTTTTCCTAAAACCCACCCCACCCCACCCCACTGCATCCTCTTCTATCGCCACCTCACTTGTCACATCCATCTTCCTTTACAGAACAGATGCACTTGTCTAATCTGCTCCCAGACCTAGTTTATTCCTCTGCTGTACCCTCTGCAATATCTGGCTATGCACAGCACAGATGCTCAAATAATGGAGGAAGTGAAGTGGATTGAATTGGATTGCACTGAATTGGACAGCCCTGGATTAGACTGGCTTAACTTGGCTTGATTCAATAATTATATTCCTTAAATCAAAGTTTTGGTAAATGTGGCTGTTTTTCTTTTGGCCATTTGCTCATTGGTCATTTGGGCAATTGGCCCTCTAGACACTTGGCTGGAAAGGAACCGGCTTCTGACAAGTTAATACCTCCATGAAGCAACCTCTGAGGAGCTGATTTGCAGTAAACTGAACCAAAGCAGGCAGTGAGCAGCCAGGAGTTGGGCAGTGGGATGTACCAAGAAAAGGCCCCAGAGGCCTACTGAGGACCCCAGAAAACTCAGCCTCCAGGCCTTCAGTGACAACATAACATTCTTGCCTTGTGAGAGCTGGGAGAAGCTGGGATCATTCAACCCTAAAGAGTTTTGTGGAGTGATGTCACTACCCCCACACACCCAGGAACCCATCCCCCAGCCTACAGCTTCCGTCTTGAGGGTCTTGGGCCCACTCATGGGCTGTATCCACAGCAGCAGGGCTGAGGGGGCACCTCCACCCAGACCCTCCCCCCAGCCCAGAGCGAAAGTTTGACTAAAGCTCAGTGTCTTCGCTTTTATAAATCTCTGCCTCTTAATGATGGCTTCAAGGCTGAGGGGAGAAGGGACCATTAAACTCACTGAATAAGTTAATGGGGCAGAGAGAATCTATTTCGGAGCCACCCCAGGCTATTTTCCTCTGGAGCTAAAGCCTGAATAAGCAAAAAGAAAAAATTAAAACCGTAGAGCACATTGCCAATAAATAACCCCCCCGCCCCCAGTGTAATCTCTCAGTATCCAGGACTTCATTTGCAGAGATATTATAATGCAGATCACTTGTGAAACACCTCTGGCTTCACACAGTTCCACCTGCAGTGGTGGCTGGGGGTCTTATTATCTGTCCATATCCTTCCCTCCCTGTGAAGGCAAGGGAATGGGCTGCTGCCATACAGCCTGCAGGCTCTTTAAGCATCCTGGGGAGAAGTGGCACCCCACGAAAGTTAGCACACTGAAACCACAGTTAGCATCCTCGAAAGAGCAAATCCCAAGACCCTCTAATCCCCCAGCTGCAGAGACTCCCCCAAGGACTTCCTAGTTGCCACAGGCCTCCTTAATTTGCAGGCTAGCCCTACTGTCCTGAAACTCCAAAACTCTCTTCCTTCCACAAAAACCAAATGCAGGGTCTTGGTTTCTTTTGCCTGGAGAGGTCCACCTCTTCAGAAAACTGCTCTCCTCTCCTCCCTCTCCTCCTGGTCCTCCTTACTCTCCCTTCCTTCCCTGCCCCCTTCCTCCCTACACCTTGCTCCTCCTCCCCTGACATCCAGTGCTCCCCCTCCCTGCCTTGTCCAAGAGAATCTCTACTCCCTCTGGCCTCCCTAGAACAAAGCCAGAAACATGGCTCTCAGGGCTGTGAAAACAAATCATTAAATAAGTGAGAACTGTTGGTAAATGTTGAGTCCCACTAGACATGCGTTGTTTCCTCTTTAATATTTAAACATGTTAATTAAATCTCCGAATAAACAAATATATTTTAGCAAGTGCCATTCCTGAGCTGGAGTCCCTTTCTGCCACCATGCACCTCGATGCCTCTCGGGTGGGACCAAGCCTTCTTCTCATGGCAAAGGAGGTCCACAGTCACCGTCCTGTGCCAGGCCAGCCTGCCAGGCAGCCTGGACCTTCAGTCAGGAGACGATGGACAGCACCCTAGTCCAATCACATCTGCCCCTCTCAGGATCCAAGGTTGTCTCTCATCGCCCCCCGCTCGACCTTCAAAAAGCTCCCATAGCCTACACATCTCCAGACTGCACTCTCTTCCTTCATTCATTCATTCTCCTTCATTGATTGATGCATGCATCAGCCCTGCATTTATATAGCAAGGCATATGCTAAACACTGGAAAGACAAAGATAAGCTGGACCAAACACCAGCCATCATTATAAGAAGCCCATATTCCTTGGGCCTGCACAGTCTCTCCCCTCTCGACTTCCCCAGCCAGAATGAACTTTCTTCAGCTTCTTAAAGACACCATTGCTTCAGGGGCCCTCCTCACGCTGCTCCCTCCTCTAGACTAGCTCTCCATCGCCTCTGCCCTCGCCATGTTGCTAGTGCCTGCTCATCCCTCCAGTTCCAGCTCAGTTGCCCCTTCCTCTGGGGAGCTTCTCTGCATGCCCAGCCTGGATTAAGCACCCCCTCACAGAAATCTGTACAACCTTGTGCTTCTTTCTCCAACACATTTATTACACCCATCACTTCAGCTGTAAGTCGAATCATCTCTTGTTTAAAAGGAAAACCCTCTGGGACTTCCTATTTTGCTAGGACTAAAATCTAACCCCTTCCCACAGCCTGCATGACCCTGCTTGATCTAGTCCCTGCAGACCTCTCCAACCTCCCACTCCCACCAGCGCACCCTACTCAGCCCTGCTCCCAGGGCCTCCTATCCAGCCCCCGACACACTTCCAGCCCCTTCCAACCTGAGAGGCGTTGCACTGGCTACGCCCTGGGCCTGGAAACTTCTGGCTCCAGTTCTCATGAAGCTCTGACTGTCTGTCACTGACAGATCGAAGCTGGACAATCCATTCTCCGAGAGCCCAGACGCCCTACCCTTACACAAAGGCAGCCTCCTCACCTCCCCATCATGCCTCATAACAGAGCACTCTGTTGAGTACCTTCACGGAACTTCTTACTCCTGATATGATTGTACTGATTTCTTTGCTTGCATATCAACGGATGGCCTCTATCCACTGAATTGTAAGGTCCCAGGCCAGAAACGTTGTGTCTTGCACATCACAGAATCACCAACATGAATGAGTAAGGCCTGTGTCGCTGTCTACCCTACCCACAATAGCCTCCAGGCTCTGAGCTGGCAGGCTGGGCTGGTCGCTGGACCCACGCAGTCAGTACCCTGCCGCAGACAGTGGACACTCACTGGTCTCGGCCTTCCCGGAACCCACATCTGAGCACTCAGCAAGCAGGACTCGCAGCTAAACCATTGTGGGAGAGAGACACAAGCCCAGGGGAGTTGCCTTTCTGGTGGGACCAGGCCCTCTTCGAGTGGCATTCATCTATCCCTTGCACATGAGACTCAGCCTGGGCCCCTGGGAGGAGCAGCACAACTGGGGTGGATGGAGAACCCCAAGGAAACGACCCAGCCCTGCTAAAGAGCACCAAATGCCCACCAGGCCCTGGCTTCCACAGTGTCACAGAGAAGAAGGGAGCTCTGAGAGGACCCTAGGGGGATGTCCTTGGGCTGAGGACCCCAGAAGGTGCCCTTGAGAAGTCAGTCATCTGTTTTCTGCCTGCTTCACTCCTCTGCAAAAAGCAGCAAGAAGCTGTGCACCACAACAGGAACCCCCCTGGGGCTTTGAGTCAAACAGGATCCCAGCTCTGCCACCTACCAGTTGGATGACCTTGAACAAGTGACGCCACCCTTCTTCCCCTCAATTTCTTCCTCTGCAAGGCAAAGATACAAGGTCCTGTTTCGATGAGTCACATAAATGTGTCTCTCCTAACCCAGATTAATCAAAAACAGTCCTAGAGTGTAAACTGTTACAACCACTTCGGAAAAAGGTCAGGCAGTATCTTATAAAGTTAAACATAAATTTATCAGACATCCCAGAAATTTCACTCCTGGGGAATGACCCAAGAGAAATGAAAGCCTACGTTCACAAAAAGGCTTGTACAAGAATGTTCATAGCAGATTTATCCATAATACTCCAAAACTAGAAACAACCAAAAACAAGAGAACAGATAAATTCAGGTTACCCATACAATGTAATATCACTTAGCAATAAAAAGGAACCAAACACTGATATCTGTAACAATGTGGATGAATCTCACAAACATTTTTGACAAACAGATATTATATGATTCCATTTCTATGAAGCTGTAGAAGAAGGAAAAGTCATCTATTGTGAAAAAGCCCAAAACAGGCTGGGCACTGTGGCTCATGCCTGTAATCCCAGCACTTTGGGAGACTGAGTCAGGAGGATCACTTAGGGCCAGGAGTTCAAGACCAGCCTGAGCAACAAAGTGAGACTCCAGCCTCTATTATTAAAAAAAAAAAAAAAAAAAAAAAAATTGTAAAAAAGAAAAGAGAAGAAAAATACCAACACGGGAGCTAAGCTATGAAGTTGCAAAGACATACAGAGGGATATAATGGACTTTGGAGACTCAGAAGGGGAAGGACGGAAGGGAGGAAGGGATTAAAAAAAAAAAACTACATATTGGGTACAAATCTCTACAAGTTCACACTATAAATTCGCCCATGAAACCAAAAACAACTTGTACTCCAAAAGCTACCAAAATTAAAAAAAAAAAAAAAAAAAAACACTACTCTCAAAAGTAGATAACAAAAAGAAAAGAAAAGAAAAATCTCCCAAACAGTGGCTCCCCCTGGGGAGGCAATGGCAGATGCTGACTGGGAAGAATGTGGGGAACTTTCTGGGGGATGGTAATGTTCTGTCTCTCACTGGGTTTGGGTCCCACAGGCGTGCGCATCTGTCAAAACTCAGAGAATGCACACTTAAGAGTAACGCATTTCATTAAATATAAATATTAGCTCAAAAAGTGAAAAAGAATCGAAGTCTAATTTTATGACATACATGCTGAAGTATGTAGAGGGAGCATGCCAACATCTAAAATTTACTCTGAAATGCATCAGAAAAATAGGATGGGTTAAGGAGTGGATAGAGGGCTGGACAGAT
This sequence comes from Homo sapiens, assembly GCF_000001405.40. Lineage (NCBI taxonomy): Eukaryota > Metazoa > Chordata > Mammalia > Primates > Hominidae > Homo > Homo sapiens. The sequence continues at coordinate 88,237,166 of NC_000015.10, forward strand.
GGATAGAGGATGTGATAAAGAAGTAGAGTGCCATATTAATTGCAGAGTCTAGGGCGTAGTTTTATGGATGTTCACAGCAAAATTTTCAACTTCTCTGTATGTTTGAGGATTTGCATAATAAAATGATGGGATGGGAGGGATCCTATGTATTTACATGTCCCAAAGAAAACAATTCCATAGCCCTATTTTGTGACCCATTGTTTTGGGAAGTTCTTTCTTACTGCTAAACCACATCCCCAGAGCTGAAGGTCCCAGCCCGTTGTCATTGTGTGGGGGTGGAGGGATGCCTAACATGGTTACTGACACAAGTGTGGTGCTCACTGGTAGCTGTTGAAATAATTAGTTAATTAATTCATAAGAGAGCTAGAAATCATGCACTTTATATATGAGTTGTTTTGCTTATTTACACCTGAGATCTAAATTTAAAACACAGAACTGTCCTGTGGACCCTTCTCAGATGTTGCACTTGCTTGCGTGTGTCCTTCCCTTTATCCACCTCTATTCCACCTAAGACCGTGCAACTTCTTCCACAGGGCTCTCTTGCTTACATGACCGACTAAGCAGACACTTTGGGCATTCGCAACAAGACACACCAAAATAAAATGAGAAAAAAAAAATCAGCCTTGATGAACTTCCACAGAATTCTGCACTCAGAAAATCTAAAAATGGTGCTTTAAATTTCATCAGGTATGCATTTTTTTGTTTTATGATTGTTATAATATTTTTGTGTTCCCCTCAAAATTCCTTTGTTGAAGTCCTAACCCCCAGTACCTCGGAATGTAACTGTATTTGGAGATAGGGTCTTTAAAGAAGTAATTAAGTTTAAATGAGGTGATTGGGGTAGCCCTAATTCAAAATGACTGGTGTCCTTATAAGAAGAGGAGATTAGGACACAGGCACACACACACAGAGAGAAGACCATGTAAAGATACAGTGAGAAGGCGACCGTCTGCAAGCCATGGAGGGAGGCCTCAGAAGAAACCAACCCTGCCAACACCTTCATCTTGGACTTCCAGCCTCCGGAACCATAAAAAACAAACATATGCTTTTTAAGCCACCCAGTCTGTGAGACCTTCTTATGGCAGCCCCAGCCAAGAAATATGAGGATTTTAATATTGTTTTTATTTTAAATCATAAATCTAGTGGGTATAATAATCTTTTTATCGCTTAGGGCTTCTAAAGTTTCATTATAATAAAGAAAAAACAAAGGATCTTGTATTGAATATTTTATCTACTCATCACCTGGAATTAATACACATTACCATTGGGTCAAATGCCAAGATCTTTAAAAAAAGACAGAATATAAACATTACAGGTAAAGTTAAGAGCCCTGTACATACCCTTCTTTTCCTCTCTCCCTCTCTCCCTAGAGGCCAAGACTGTCACGAAATTGGTTTGTATTCAGCCCACGATTTTATCTTTCTGTCTATAAACAACGTATTATATCGGTCATTGTGATGTTTAACGTGTATATATGGTATGTCACTCTGCAACTTATTATATTTTTCACCAGCATTATGTTTTCAAAATATAGCCATGTTACCACACAGAGAACAAGGTTTTCACTGAAACTGCTGTACAGGATTTCATCATCTCACTATGCCGTGATTCAGCTCTTGATTCAAATGCCTCCTGATAACATTTCAGCTTGTTTCCAGTTGTTTTGCTCTTGCACACACTTCTGCAATAAACATGGGAACATGGGCTCTGGAGTCAGCCTGGGCTGGAATCCTCACTGTTATTTACCGCTGTGGCCTTAGACAAGCTCTTGCATCTTTTGGTCTCCATTTCCTCATCTGTCAGACGAGAGCAGTTCTCCACTCAGACAGTGGCTGTGCGGATTAAATGAGTGACTATATACACTGCCAGGCCTGAATACAGTGCTTAACACACAGCAGCTGCTAGCACTATGAGCTCCAGGAAGTGGAAAGATAAAATAATCCACAAACATGGGTCTGGGCAACAAAGAACCTCTCAAAGGTGGGACTGGAGTGACAGGGAGGGCCCAGATAAGCAAACTGGAGGCCAGAAGCCCTCCAGGCAGGGGAAGTGGCCGGATCACGAGACTGAGAGTGAACAATGCTGAGAATGTTTGAGGAATGAACAGCAGATCAGCTCACTGGGGCAGAGGATTCCCATGGGGAATAACGAGAGGCAGGACTCCAAAGAGGAGCTGCAGCCTGAACATGAACAGCTCTGAGTGCCACAGAGAGAAGTCTCAACTACACCTTGGGGGCAAGTGGGAGCCAAGTAAGGTTCTTGAGGCGCAGTCACACAATGACTTACTCTACCTCCCAGATCATTTTTACAAATCCACTTGAGTCTGGAATGGCATTCTGTAACAAGTGTGTTTTCATCTCTCAACTACAGGTTGGATCACGCAGGTCAAGGCAGGTTCAGGTCAAGTCCAGCCCTTAGGGAAAGGTCAGCATGGGGCCAAAGTCAGGAGAGAACCAGGCACCACATCAGGGGTGCAGAGAGAAGAGGGGAGAGAGAAACAGACAGAGAACCAAGCACCAGGACAAGGCCTGGCAGAATGTGCTTGGGAGTGGGCTGGTATTCTTCAAGAATGGAAGGATGCAGGCTTTTTGCAGTCTAGGAAATCTTATTCATAAAAATGTTATGCAGAATACCACCCCGCCTCTGATCTCACTCCAGGGAGTACAGTGTGAAAGCCATCAATATCAACAGTCACTCTCAAAGTGTGGTCCTGGACTCGATGCGAATTCTCAGGCCTGACAGCCAAACTTCGGAATCAGAAACTCTGGGGTGGGGCCCAGCGGTCGGTGTTTTAACAGCCCTCGGTGATGCGCATGCACGCCAAAGCTTAATAACTCACAGGGTCTGGTCTCCAGAACACACATATACACACACAGCGACACACACAGACACACACACACACACACACAGGAACAAGGTTCCCACGCACCTGTGTGCAGGAGCACAGCCCCCCTCCCCTCCCCCACAGGATTGCCCCCAGAGAAACCCAGGGCTGCTGCATCTGTATGGCTCCCCTACTTTCCCATCCCGTCCCCAGCCACCGCCATAGAAACATCACAAGTCAGAGCTGGAAGGGATCTCAAAGATCACCTAGTCCAGCCCCCTGATTTTAAATATAAGAAAACTGAGACCTTAGAGACAACAATGCCCGATCCCGACACACCCGATAAACTGTGGCAGTGATGGGACACAGGCCAGCCCCATCCTGCCCTGACGCAGGGGACATTCTGTGAGGATGTGGCCAAAAACACCTGTGTCCATGAAACTCAAGGATCTCAAACTCCACTGAGTCCCAAGGGCCCCTTCTACCCCACCCTCCTTACCACCAAAACAGCACGTCATGTGTCCTGTCGGCCCAAGGGTGCCTGCTTACTGTGGAGGAGGCTGGGGCTGGCAGGAAATGGAAAGGGGTCTGTAATACAGGGCTGCCCCCCTGGCTCTGGAGACAAACCTCAGCTCTGCCACTTCCTAGCAGAACCACCTAGGGCAAGCTACTTAGCCACCCTGTGCCTCAGTTTTCTCCCCTGTAAAATGAGGATGATCGTGGGACCTGCCATGTCACTGTGCTGAGAATGGAAGCGGGTTAAAATAAAAGTCCCCTTAAAGGAGCCCCCAGAGCAGTCATCACACAGCATTTGCTGTCACTGTGATGAGCTCAGTTTTCTCTAGAAGATTCCTCCAACGGGCTGCCCTGCTAAGGGCAAAGCCCGAGGCCCACAAAGGTGTGGAGAGCAATGAGAATGGTGTGCCCAGCATTCTGCATGGAGGCATGTGTGCCCTCAGCAAGCTGGGAGGGTTGCTGTGGGCCTGGGGGACATTCTGGTGCAGGAAATGAGCCTGTTACAGTCCACAGGTCTTTACTGAACACCTACTAGGTGGGGGCTCTTGGGGACAGAGCTGAATAAGCCTCAATGCCAGCCTTCAGGAGCTCACCACACAGTGAGGAAACAGGAACATTAACAAGCTAATGCCATATAGGACACATCGTGGGGCTCCCGAGGGTGTCAGCTGGACTGAGACACTAGCTGTGCCGCCCTCTTCTGTTCAGTGACCTCCTGGGCAGGTAAGAACATAGAGGGCAGTAGAGGGCAGCAGGGTGGGGCCTCAAGGTCAGAGCATGCCTGCCCAGACAGCAGGCAACAGCAGTCCTGAGTGAGTGACAGAAGGAGGGCAGGGGGATGTCAGTCACCTGGATGGGAGACACAGCCTGCAGCTCAGGGATGGGGGTGATGGGCGCAGGGAAGAGCAACCAATCATTTCCAGGGAGACAGAACATGACCCCGGAAAATGAACCCTAGATGCAAATCAGGGAGTCATGAGGTCACTCTCCTGCCACTTCTGCTTCCCCAGGGCCCAGGGAGCTGCTCTGGGCTGGAAAGGAGGAGGGAGGGTGTGCCCTGGTCAGTCTCACCTAGGAGCAGGGGGCATGGGGCAGGTCAGCCGCTGGTTGGGCAGAATGCCAGCTGGGTGCTGGGAGCAGGAAGCGGGGCTACCCTTCAATACCACGTGGAGCTACTCTCTTCATCTGACCTGCACCTCGCCTCACCCAGGCTCACCTCCACCCAGCGCACTGGGGAGAAGGGCTGCCCTATATCCACAGCCCTCTGACTTTTCTGCCGAGAACATGGCCCCGGGAATGGACGGAATCTGCCGTGCACTCTCAGCAAAGCTTGGCCCACCTCCCCTCTCCAGAGGTCGATTTCCAGGTGCAGGGAGAGGCCAGGAGAGTTGCTGCTCGGCTGCACACATCCTAGAACGACAATGGAGACCTAGGGACAATGGAGACCTCAGGGGTCCTGCTCTCCACGGCTTTCCCAGCTCTCCCAAGTGGCTGGCCCATCAGAGACTCTCCAATAAACCCACGTTGGATAAATGCACAAATAGAGAAACGAATGAACGGTTGCCTGGGAAGAGCACGTAGCCACCTGCGCATGGACACACTGATGCGTGGCTTTCCTCCCTCCCTGTCTCACTTCCGCTCTCCCTCCCAGGCTTCCTGGGGTCACCTTCCAAATAAACTACCCACAGCCCAAATCTTCATCTCACACAGGCAGAGTGACAGGGAAAGAAATGAAACTCGCTTCTCTTGCCTTTCCGCGTGGGGCCTCTGTGAGCAACAGCAAGGCCAATGAATCAACTTCCCAGCCAGGGGGCACAGTCTTGACAACTCACTCTACTGTTATCACATTCAGTACACCTGGGAGCAGGTAAATCTAGAATTTTCAAAACTCCATTTAGGAAAATTGCACCCTCTCCACCTTAGGGAAGCCACATTTTCATATATATAAATTTTTCTTTAAACTTTACATTAGATCCGTTTTCTAAAATTCTGCCCCCGCTTCTCTTGAGATAACCCTTTGAGCTGTAGATCATTTGTCTAATACCTGCCTCCCTCCATTCACCTGTAGCTCCAAGAAGGAAGTATCACGGTCTTTTATTTTGTCAAGGCTGTGCCCCAGGGCTCAGCATGGGTCTGGCCCACAGCTGGTGCTAGGCGCTAGGATGAAAGGGGGTAGACTCTCCTCCTCTTTGGGTCCCACAGAAGGAAGAGCCAGGCTGGCCCTGCTAGCGCATCTGCTCATTCTTCCCCAACAGTCCAGATGCTAGGATGGGCTTTGGCAAACAGCAAGGCAGGCGGCCAGACACCTGGGCACCCCACAGCCTAGGTACAGATGCAGCTCAGCATTCACTGTGGGCTGCACACACCGCCAATGCCAGGCCCCCATTAGCTGTCTGTTATGCACTTGGAAGACAGTCCTTTGGAAAACAGAATATGAGGCCGCCCCTCCAACACCTGCCCTAGGGATGGGAGCCAGAAGTCCCCATAGGCCATAGGGCCCTCCCACGGAGGAGGAGGAGCTGCAGCTGCAGGCCCTAAAAATTAGGCCCTTCTTTCCACCCTCTTCCTTCAACACCAGGGACTTTGAGGAGCCCTGAGCTGAACTCCTCTTCCATTTCTTTCTTGCTCCTGAGTGCCTCAAAGACAAGGTTTCTGCCAAGAGAATAAAATTGCACCCCTCCTCCACGCCCTTGCCCCCTCCCCACTTCTTATGTTATTTCCCTCTCTGTGTCTTATCGCCACATTTGTTCAAATGACTGCCACTTAAGAGGTGGCAGGGAGTCAGAAACACAATCTGGAGCAAAGCTGATATTAAATAACTTCCTGAGCCTGGCCCGTCTGCCAACGCTCCCTCCTGGATCTCAGGTGGAGAAATGAAGAGGCTGCAAGGATGAGAGCCAGGGTCACCCCAAACCAGCCTCAGAGCTACTCCTCTGCTGAGAGGAGGCTGGAGTTTCTTCACCAGTAAAGCCCAAAGCTTAGCAGTGACCCCTACCCCTGCTTCTCACTTGATCCCATCCCCCATAGCATGCACACACACACACACACACACACACACACACACACACACACTGAGCAAAAGGTATTCAATCATGTCTGACACTCAAATTTAAGCTAAAAGAGGCTTTTTTGTCAACCAGACCAACCCCTACATTTCCCAGGTAAACAAACTGAGGTTCAGAGATCTGGAGTCTCTTGGCTAAGGCCAACCAGATAGACTGTATGAAAGCATGTCAAAAAGAGTGGTGCCCCAGGAAAACACCAGAAAGGCTCTGGTTTTTAGGTGCCAGGATTGTTTCATCACAATCAACTTAGTCAGTTGCCCATGTGGTTTCTCCAGTTGTGACTTCGTACTGTGGGCCCCAGCAAGAAACATCCCTAATAGCCATCATCACATGAATGCCCTCAGAAAAAAAATATCTTTAGCACCTAGCAGTTGAAGGGGAGAAATTCTGCTAATGAAACCTCTGAAGCCAATATCCACTAACCCTGACTCAGTCTGACCTGGCCTGGACAATCCCCACCACACCACCTGCAAGATCAGAATACACTTGCTGTTCTCCATGCCAGCCACTGGGTGTCACTGCTGCCCCCCCATGAATTGGAACCATAGAGCGTTCAGTAGGGGGTAAAATGACCCCAGCAGGCCAAGGGGATCTCATACATATCTCCTGGGTGTGACCTAACTTCATATTTCTCCCAGAAAGAGATAGATGGCCAACCATGTTCCAGATGCTGCTCCAGATGCTGTTCTATCATGTTCCAGATGCTGTCCCCACATCATGTATTTTAATCCTCACAACACCATCTCATAGCAACTCTCCCAATAACATCTTACTTTGCAGGGGAAGAAAATGAGGCAGAGAAAAATTAAATAACGTGCTCACAGTTTAAAAAAGCAAGCAAGGAGGAGGGCAAGGATTGGAACCTGAGACAGATGCCAAATTCCATGACCTTTTTACTACACAATTTAGCCTCCCTTGAGCTATCAGTCTCAGTGCTATGGGCTCTGGCTGAATCAAGCTGGTTTGCCATGACCCCAGAGAAGATGGCACCTGGGAAAAAACCAAGTGGGGCTCAGACTTTCATCAAAGGTACAAATCACATCAGGACAGGCTCAACAGCCCTTCCCTCCCTGCAGAAATCATGGTCTAGTGCCCTCTTGTGGCTTTATATGGAACTGGGATGAATGTCCATGGGAGGCTCTCATGAGTGGATTGAAAGGATTTTAGGTCATCCTATCCCATTGGATTCCTAAATTCTTTCTACCAGGGATGGTCCTGAAGCCCCCTCTTCAGACAGACTTATTGGATTACAATAGCCAAGAGGGAATCAGCTAGTGAATGGGAAGCTATGTAAGGCAAGAATAGCAATAAAACCACTTGGGACAACATCTGCAAGAAGCTAGATGCTACTAAATTACCCTAGATAGAGATTTCTGGCATCCAGATTTCTGGGGCTGCAGAGTGGGGAAGGCAGGTAGTTAAAGGCTTTGCCTGGGACACTCTGACACTTGGTATTCCAAAGGAGTCCCTTAGCAGGAGCCATAACAATCTCCCTGTCCCTGTGGAAGGCATGTACCTCAGCCACTGTGTCCCTTTTTCCAAATACATGCCATCTTAGTCCTTCTCTTGCCTCCGTCAGCTTTGTCCACATGCTAGTTCCCTCATGCAACTTCCTCTAATCCCATTCTTCAAGGACCTGGAAATGTCACTGCCCATCACCTCTTACAGACTCCTGTGGACTGCTCACCAGCTTGGCTTCTGTGGAGCCATCACATGCCAGGCACCTACCATAATCTCATTCAACCCTCACAACCTCTCTATTAGATGGGTATAGCTAACCAGATTTTTCAGATGAGGAAACTGAGGCTCAGAAAAGTTAAGTAATGTGCCTAAGCCTATACCAGGGCAGAGCCAGGATTTAAACTGAGTTTTTTGACCAAAGAAGCCTCTACTCTTCCCACTACACCATGCCACCTCTCAGACAAAGGGACCATGAAAAGTTCGGGATGCAGGAATTGGTCTAACCAAATACCCTGGATTAGAAGATTAATCTGTTAGGGTGTGGAAAATGAGCTAGAGGCGGAGAGACTGGAAGCAAGAAGAACAGATGAGGGCTATAAAAAGTATCTATGCTTGTGGGGATGAGGTTCTGGGGTGTAGTAATAGGAAGACAGAGAAAATAGTTTTACACACACACACACACACGTGCTCATTGAAATCTTATAATAGTCCTGCCTTATGTTTATTATTTTCATATGAGAAAACTGAGGATCAACAAGGTCAAGTAGCCAGCCCAGGGTCTCAGGATGTAAGAGGCAGAGTCATGATCTAAAGCTTCATTTAGTCGTTGCCATAAATAATTAGGGTTGTATATGTAAATGATCTCTGGCCCAGTAGAAGGGATAATGTCAGCTTCTTTCCTTCTCTTCAGTGGACCAGATTTGAAAAGCTATCAGAAATAAGGAAGTGGGGAAAGATGGACCACAACAGAGAGAACACTGCCTGCAGCCCCAGGTCAGGAAGCTGGGAGCAGACCCTCAAGAAAGAGTCACAGGCCCCAGACCAGAGAGCTCCACACCCACCCCAAAAGCAGCAGACCCTGTCTCTAAAGCTGATAACCTTGTTAGTAGGAGGACACTCATTTGTGCATGGAACAAGACAGCACCTGCTCAAATACAAGACTGCCTGGAACAGACAGACGAGCCAACGATACTCTCAGAAGCACTGTCAAAACCAGCCAGTCCAGGCAGGGCCCATGGCCCTGGTTTGCAAGGCACTTTCGTAGCCACCTCTGTGTATGGTTATCTCCTAAAGCAGACACGGGATCTGCAGAGGTTAAGAGAAGGCGCCAAGCTCTCATCTCTAGTCAATGCCAGGACCTGCTATTTTCTGAGCACTACTTGTCGTCCGGTAATTTCCAAGCTTGGGTTGGTGGGGGCAGGGAGAGGGGAGAGATTCCCCCACACTTCAGCCAGGGCATCAGACAGCCTGAGAGCCTGTATAAAGCTCGCTTCCTCCATGATACTAGCCCCACAGTGAAACTATCTGTCAACTTCTCTATTAAGCCTGTGGGTCTTCCTGGGCTACCTTCCATGCATTCACCCCATTACCCTCTGTGCAAATGTGCTGATCTCTCCTGCTGCTGCTGAGAGAAGGCTGGAAGGAGAGCACACCAGGTGGCTTTCCTCCATCCAATGCACTCGCCCAGCCACCTCCTTCCCAGGAAGCCAAAGGCTCATGAGTCAGAAAGTCCGGGTCCTGGAGTCTCACATCCCTGGACTGCAGAGATACAATGGAAGCAGGGTCATCTCGGCGGAGAGATGCCCCTCATAGAGGAGAGCTGACCTCTCTGCTCAGCCCTGGCTCAGGAAATGCTCTGAAAGCCAGGGCTGACAGTGCACTTCTCACCAGGCTAGCGCCACACGCCCGGCTCCCGCCCTGGGAAGCCATCAGCCCAGGACCGTCTCGTGCGCCACACTGCCCTCTGGTGGCCACCAGGAGTGTAGCCGCAGAGGGAAGCCAAAATCTTTTAAGGTCTGTTTACAGAGACCTCAGACACGATGTGCACAGAACACAGAAGAGACGCACTTGTGCCTGTGCCAAGACTCCCCCAGATACACGCACGCAGCCCTGTTTCCCGCGGCAGGTAGCCGGGTTTAGGACTTCGAAGCTACTATTGCTCCCTTCGTGTTCTCCTCTTCTCTGCAGCACTCTAAGAGCTCCTTTCCCCGCCTGCCTGTAAAAGCCCGAACCCCTCAGTCCCAGAGCAGACACCAACAGGCGGATGGAGACCCACACCAGCTAGCGAGGCAGGGCCCTTCGTTCTGGGCTGCCTTGTGCCAGGAACTCACTGGGCGATTGGGCCAAATCAATTCACCTCTCTTGATTCCTAAGTTCTTTCTCTGTAAAACAGTGTTTGGCCCCAACATTTTCTGAGGCCCTTTCCAGATCTAGTAATTTATGGTTCAAAGTCTTGATCTTCTCTCTAACTCAGAAATCTTCCCAGTAGTCTAGAAAAGGAAATAACCAACGTGGTGCCCAATTATTTACAGAGCCTAGCGAATACATCATTGCATAGGTCTGAACATGACAGTGACCCTACGGGGGTGCCGGGCTGGAGAGTTCCATGACCTCAGCTCTCAGAAGTGCGAGGCCAGTGGCTGAGCGATCATGAAGCAAGCTCACACAGCCAAGAAGCAGCAAACGTGGAAAATGCACCAAACCCTGCCCCACAGTTTCGGCTGTTTCACAGAAGAAAGTTGTATCTGTCTCCCACACTAAGAGCTCATCCCTATGGAGAGAGAGATGGAGCTTCCATGAGCAATGAAGGTAGAGAGGCGGGGTAAGGTCGCGGGGGGATAAAGGCTGCTTATTGTGGAGAGGACCAGGGAAGGACGCAGAAAGAAGCTCTAAACATCAGCTTCCAGCTCCAGCTGCCCAGCGCTTTAGACACCCCCCTTTTGCTCTGCACCCAGAAATGCTCCTGGCACCCCAAAGCTCTACCTGGGAGAAGCCACTCAGCCCTCTGCTCTCCCATCCAGGCTCTCGCTGGCCATGAGCACCAGGGGCATAGTCCTGCTGACCACGGCTCAGCCCAGAGAGGAGCTGGCTGGGACCCAGCCACCAGCTTTCTGAATCTCAGCCAGCCTCAGCTGGCACCTGTTCTGCTGCGGGCTGACCTGACCTCAGAGGCCAGGACATCATGGGGTGGATGAGGAGGCCTGGGAAGAGGGTGTGGCTGAGACACAACTTCAGGAGAAACTCCCTGTTGGGAACAGGTCAGAAGGAGAGACCAAAAGCCTCCCCCACTACTAAGAGGCCTGCCTGGGACAGTGTTGGCCACACTGTTTGGCCAATACTACACCCATAATTATCCTATGTGCCTTCCCCTTATATCCCAGCCAGGGTAACTCCCACCCAAGTAACTGAAATGTTGTAAACTAAATGATTCTCCTAGACTTTTACATCAACTCTTTTATTTATTTTTAACTTAATAGTAATATATTTGTGTGTGTGTGTGTGTGTGTGCATGTGTGCATATATATGTGTATGCTAGTATGCATAAGAGTATTGCAAAAGAGCATAGGCAGTATAGCTTAATATTTAAATGCCAGACTGCTTTCCCATTTACTGGCTGCATGAAATTAAGTGAGTTAAGTTCCTTCTCTGCACTCAGTTTCCCCATCTGGAAAATGAGGCTAATAATAGTACTTATCTTATTGGGGTTGATGTGAGGCTGCAATGAGGTATTAGCCTTAGAGTGCTTGGCACAGTGTCTAGAACATAGTAAGTGTTTCAGAAACGCTAACGATTGTTATCATGTACTCAGTAGATGCTAGCTGTCACTAGTTATGTATAGACAGATTTCTCTTAGCCAGACATGACCCAGGGCACTGAACTTCAACAGGGTGCTTACATAATGTAGTTGTTATTATTATCCATTTCTTATAGATAAGGAAATTGAGACCCAGAGGAGGAAAGGGATTTGTTCAAAGCTAGGGAGAGGCCATGCCTGGAGGAGCTGCTGGGAAAACTGGGCTTAGGAAAAGAGCAGCTGCCAGAGTCCTCCATGCTTGATGATGCGTGTCTGGGGAAGGAATCCTGAATCTCCCACCACCCAGACTCTGGGACACTTATGATGGGACAAGCCAGGCAGGAGGACTGGGGGCAGAGGTGAGGCCAGGGGAAAAGGACAGGCTCCCAAGTCTGCTGAGCCCCAGGTTCCCCAGCCCTGTATGTGAACAGAGCTCAGCAGAAGGCCTCATCGAGTTGATTTCTAATTGGTGTGGGCTGCAAGCTGCAAAGAGCTCTGGGGCTGCCAGTCTCACATAGTTGCTGCCTCTGGGGACCCTGAATTTGGAAACATTGCCTCAGAGGGAGACACAGTCATGGGGGAGGCTCTGGCTTTGACAAAGTGCCCAGAACAAGAGCCAGCACTGAGTAGAAGGCGGCCCCAGCACCTGGGAGTGTGCCCGGGAAGAGAAGTCTTCGAGCGACCCAGGGACCCCGGCTGAGTCCCTGCCCACTCTGGGCCCTTGGACCCTCATGGGTGACATGAGGGAGAAGATGACTGCAGTGGTCCTTTCCAGCTTTGAATTCTGGTAAGCCCTGCACTTAGAGGCGGCGGAAATGGGAAGAGCCTCCTTGGGGGTTCTCAGGACTCCACTGGGCCCTGAGCTTTGGTGTTAGCCTCACTGGAGTCTTCACTCCTTATGACCCAACCCATCAACGAGCAGCTTCCAACACACCGGGCCACCAGGAGGATTTGTGTTCCTCAAAGTTGAGGTCAACGAGGTTCATAGAATGACAAATGACATGAGCTGATCACTCAGTTCATCACCAGCATCTGAGTGACTGAGTCCAGCCTCTATCTGGGCCACTCTTTGACCAGTTGCTGAACACTCAGCCGCCCTTTGCAAGTCCCTCAAAGATGGGTCATTCCCGCAATGCTGCCCTTTGGGTGGAAAAAAACTTCCTAGATGAAAATGCTCTGCACCTTCCTTCCCAACAAGCCAAACCCCAGGGCCTCAGGAGACCAAGGTCCCCAGGTTTGATCCTGGAAGTATCTTTCTCTGGGGCCGTAAGTATTCCCGCTTCCAAATCTCATGTCAATAGCCCCTCACATTTCTGTCTTCCTCTCTCAGGCGTAGTCCTAATGTCTGGCTGAAAGGGCCACGCCCAAGAAAGAACAGAGCCAAGGGGACCCACAAGCTGGTAAGAGAAGCCCCAGAAGAACCACAGACTCCTGAGAGCCTCTGGACTTTTCCATTTGTGAGCTATGACAACATGACCACCTGGGACACTAGATTTGTTCTTTATTTTGTTTTCTTGATCTGTAAAATGGGACTGTTAAGCTCTGCTTTTATATGCCAAGCAACTGTCACAAAAATAAACTCAACAATTGTAAACTAAAAATAATGATATGACTGATGGGGGCATTCGTGGAGATGAAGAATTTGCTACACAAGGATAAGAAGGTAGGATCCCAGTAGGCACTAGACCATCGTTTCATAAGAGCTGGCCTGGCCCCTGCGAGGGGGCTTTTGGGCCTTGGGAACTCTGATCCGGAACTGAGATCCTCCACCCCACCCAGCTTATTCCCTCCTCACATTAACCATACCCCCCTATTAATCAACCGTTCCTTGGCCCAGCACCAAGAGAGAGCCAGGGGCTTCAGGACCACCTCTTCTGTCACCACCCTGTCTCCTTCTCAAGTGCCAACCCTCCCAATCACAAGAGCAGTGGGTACCAAGCTGTATTGATCATGCATGATTTAGCAATCAAAAAGTTTATTTTATAAACCCCAAACACTCATATTTATTACTTTATATGTTTATATATCTATTATCTATACATTAAATATGAAATATCCTCTTTTCTAGGCAAAAATAATTTGCAATAGAAGTTCCAGTGTTTTCTTCTCACACCCAGTGGAGAGCTGTGCTCCAGCAATGGGCTGAAAGCTTTGCAAAAGAACATCTTTTCCTGGCCCTGAGCCCAGGGTGCAGATGGGGAGTCACGAAGCTGGGTGTCCAGGCCCTAATGAGAGGCTGCAGGCCCCAGCACATTCTTGTTAAATATGCCATTTGGTCTGGGCAGTTGACTCTAAATAGTGTCATGTGTCACAAATGGTGTCAAATTCTGGGTGGCCTGAGTTTGCTAGAGGTGGGAAGGGAAGGAAGAGGAGAATAACCACTGTCCCAAGGTCAGTGAGGGAGTGCACCTCCTCCTGGCACCATCACAAGGATCACTGCCATCCCCAGGAGATGCCCTTAAAAGTGGCGTGGCCGAGCCTCCTGGGGGAAGTTCTCTGGGCCCTGAGATGACATATGTCCAAGTTGGAAGAAACACTCTGCCCTGCGGCCTCAATTCATAGTTGAATTTACAGGCTCTGAAAGTCTAGAGTGCCCTGATGGAGCTCACAGGGAGTTAGGGGCAGAGCCAAGGTGGGATTCACATGATCCATCCCTTTCTCTGCCACCAGCCAACTGGAGGCCCCGAGGGGAGGCTGGAGACCATGCCTATGACTTCTGTGCAAGCCACCCATGGGAGCACATGGGATGGGGACCCAGGCCACAGTGGAAATGCCGTGATATTGGCAAGGGCCATACCAAAGGAGGGCCTCAGGCTACCCACACCCACCCAAGAGCCAGCTGAGTTGGGGCCCTGGTCCTTCTACAGAGTTGGACAGAAGCAGCAGCTGGCAGGGACTGGCAAGGCAAGGACAGGCCCTCCCTTTCTCACAGCAGCACCTCCTGTTCAGCCAGGCAGGAGGGTAGTAGGAGCCTTCTAGGACCCTAAGGAACCTTCCAGGTTGCAGGCTTAGCCTTCCTGGGGCCAGTAGATGAGGACTTTCAAAGCAGTGGCCAGGTTGGGCTGGTTTTTGCCCAAAGCTGTCATGGCCTCAGGTCCCATGGAGGTGCAGAGCAGATGCCCTTGGCCCCAGGGTGTATGACAGAAGCTTGACCTGCTGGGCTTCCTGGGGCAGGGGGTCTTGGCTCTGGAGCCACCAATAGCCTTTCCTTGGTGGAAAACCCCAGGGCCTCAGGAGACCAAGGTCTCCAGGTTTGATCCTGGAAGTACCTTTCTCTGGGGCTGTAACTACTCCTGCTTCCAAATCTCATGTCAACAGCCCCTCACATTTCTGCCCACCTCTCTCAGACCTAGTCCTAATCCTGGGGTTCTGAGCACCAAACTGTGCCTACCGAGAGTGAGCCCCATGATGCCTTTGGGGCCTGGCTCATACCCTGCTGGGTCATTGTCAAGGCTGGGTCTCCCCTTGATCCTTAGAAAGAATGAGACTCAGGAGCCAACATGACGGCCAAAGCCCCGAATGATCCTTCAGCCAGCCAGAAGAGGGCCTTCAGGGAGGGCCATGGAAATGAAGGGACCAGAGAGCTGCCAAATGCCAGGGACCCTGTGGCGGCTCAGAGTGAGACCCAGCTGGCGACTCAGAGTCCCAGCTAAGAGCCCGTGGTCTTTGCAAGCCGAGGTAGCCAGCCCCAAGCATACCTGGTCCAGCCATGCCATCCTCTCCCACTTCATCTTCTTTCTAACAGCTAAAGACCATACCACTCCAACCCAGCCCCAGGTAGGCCTGGCCTAGCAAAGCGGCCCAGACAGTCCACCATGGCCACCACCCTCCTGCCTTTGTGACGTCACAGCCTGGTTGGGTGTGGCTGCGCATGGACCCTTCCAGGCTCCATGAGGTTCCTGTGTATCAACAGCTGCAAAGGCAAAGGGATTGGCCTCCTGGGCAGAAAGGGGCCAAAAGGGAGGGCCCTTTGGAGGAGCGTGGCTCTGGTGAGGGGTGGAGGTGAGACCCACACTTATGCTCTGATGCCTTGCAACTGATTTCCTCCAGATACAAACAGGGCAGCTGAATGGGGAGATGGCCTCCCCCATCAGAGGCAGTTCCCAGCCAGCTTCCTTGGATGGCCACACAGGAATCACTCCACACACCATCCCTGAGAAGCAGAACCACAGGGAAACCTCTTGTCCCTCTGGAAACTCAGTTACAATCAGTTCAGCACTTGAAGGAAGGATCTCGAAACATTACAGCCCGAAGAACAAGAGGGTGAAACTGTGGAGGCCTCAGCATCTTCTACCCAGAGTGTGCCCAAGCTATACCCTGGGGCAGCCACCAGCATCAAGAGCTTCAGGCCAGTAGGGAGCTAGGGGACCTCTTGGTCCCATTTCCTTGATAACATCAGAAATCTGAAGAACAACTCTCCAGCAAGGCACGGGCTTCAACTGAAGCCCTCTTCCCAAGTCATACTAAAACAAGAACTGACCCCAGCTGCGGGTGCTTCTCTCTGCCCGCACATCCCTCTTCCAGCCTGCTCCATATGCAGCCCCACACAGTGGGGGTTCCTGTTGGGATTGTGTGTCTGGGGCAAGTGACCTTACCACCCCAAGCCTCCATTTCCTCAGAAGTCAAACAGGGATGGGGATGCTGACTTTCCGGGGTAAGCGTGACTCTCCGCCCTCTCTCCAGCCCCCTGGCTCTGGAGTGGAAATCTGGGCTCTTCTCGAGCTCAGTCAATACCAGCCATAGATATAACAGGGCACTGGGGAAAAGATGGGGCAAGGAGAGGTCATTTGACCCATGACCTCTGACCCTCCCCCACCTGCCACTGGCACAGCTCCTGTGGGAATCCATTTCCCTTGTTCTTTGGTGTTGGGTGGATTTAGAGAAAGGAGTCCTGATGGCCTCTCAGAATCCAAGTCCTGAAACAAGAATGGGGACACACACAGAGGGGCTCCAGATCCACTCCCTGCTCACTATCCTCCCAGACGCCCTCCTGAGGCCCTCCAGTACCAAAGAGGGCAAGAGGCCACCCCAGTCCCCTCCCATCACAGACCTTTCTGGCAGCCTAGAAAGGCTAACCCAACTCTGCCCTATGAAACTGCTTCCCTGAGCATCATTTTCAGAGGAGCAACACCTCTGTGTGGCTATAAAGAGCCTACGTGATTGTGACCATCCCTGCCTCCCACTGGCTTTCTACAGACAGACACATCCTTGGAGCAGCACACTGGATGCAGCTCACCCATTCCCAGAGACCCAGGCTGGGTACCAGGGGCCCCTTCTTCCAACCCTTGGCCCACCCCTGGCAATCTCTAGGTCAGGCTTCTGAGCACCAAGACTGGCTGCTCAGCTCCCACCTTCACCAGCACCCTACTACCCACATCCACCCCCTACACACATACACATACAGCCCCAGCAATGCACTTCCAAGTCTGAGTTTCCCTAACAGTCTCACTCTGAACCCTTCTCCCTGCATCCTTGGGAATGCTGGAAGCCTGTGGCCTGCAGTGGGGGAGAGGCACAGTTGGGTCTGTCCTGTTCCTCCTGCCCTCCCTGCTGACCCCCGCCCCTTGGCTGTTTATCTTGTCATCTCTGGCCGGGTTGAAGAGGGTAAGGGGGTGAACAGCAGAGCTGAGATATGGGTCAAGCTTGTCTCCTGGGCCAGGAGTCAGAGACATCTCCTGGGCTATCCATTTCCCTCAAACTGTCAGCTGCGAGAGCGCAAGCAGAAGCTCCATTAAGCCGAGAGGGCTGGTGGGCTTTCCAAAGAGCAGGACTGCAATTCCTCCAGGCTTTGCAGCCCCATGGCCCTGGGCTGAAGCAAGGGGAGGTGCTCCCAGAGCAGCACCAAAGGCAGGTCCGGCCCCCTTAAGTCCGTCGAAGGGGTAAAGAGCCACCCAAAATGCCTTCCTCCAGACCTTGGCCAGGACCTCAGCACAAACCCTTCTCAGCTGCCTACCCATTGCTGAGGGTCCCCAAGGGCTGGAAGCCTTGGGGGAAAAGAGGTGAGAATTATCCTCTGAGCAATTCCAGTATGGTCCACACCCTTCTCCAGGGTGGTAGGTTAGGAAGGGGTCACCTGGCCGAGGTCAACGAAAGAAAAGAGGAGCAGACTCTCCAGTCCCCAGCCCTCGATCTGTCCTCTCCTTTGCGTCTGCTGCCATCCCCACCAAAGAAAAATAGCAAGGAGAAAAGAGCAGGCCACCACTGGTCTCCCTCGGAGGGGGCAGAACCAAGCAAAAGCCAGCCAGAGTTGAATGTTCCAAATGAACCGATCCGCACGATCACACAAGAAACCCCTCTCCTCAAAACACACGCCCTCTCCTCTCCCTGCGCCATCCTGACTCGGAATAGTTCCGAGCAGTTATCAAAGCCCAAACTGGGAAGGGATCTGTAGGCGCCCAGATGCAGATGAGGGTGGCAAAGGGGTGTCTCGGAAATGCCCAAAATGGGGCTGGAGAGGGCGGGCTGCAGGAGGGGAAGGGAAGAGGTAGGCGTCCATGACGGCCTCCACACGTCCAAAGTCTCCCCGCGAGCAGCCAGCTCGCAACTTGTTTACTTGTCAGCATGTTTTGCTGTTTCCAAATGGAAATAGTTAAACACCTCGGCTGGATCGCGAGCAGTCCCTATCTGTCACCTTCCCTGCCGGCTAAGCGCTGCCGCCGCTGCCACCGCCGCTGCCGCCTCTGCCAAAGAATCGAACCTCGTCTACTTTATTCCACTTGAGCGTGGCCAAACTGTTGCTATTTAGTGGGGAGCAAAAAAAAACAATTTGCACCATCGAAACGAGCCAGCAACTGGTTGGGAGGCGGGCGGTAGCTGGGCCCCGCGTGCCCTCGGCGGCCGGGGTCCTCTCCGGGGAGAGGCACACACACGCATAGCCGGATCGCGCCTCGCCAGGGCCGGAGTCACCTGGAATGCGCAGCCGGAGAGCATCTCCCGAGCCAGAGCGAGCCTGACGCGCGCCCAGCGGGCGGCGGGCAGCGGCGAGCTGGGGCGGGCGGAGGGCCGGCTCCCGGCCGCGGGTGGGCAGGAGGGAGACGCAGAGCGCGGGGGAGGCAGGCTGGGGAGCGGCCGCCTGACTTACATGGAAGTGATATTCCTTGAGATGTCCGTGATGTTGATACTGGCGTTCCCATTGCTGTTCCCTGAATCCTGCCCTTCCAGGAGGGGGAAGAGGTTCCCATCGTCCGGCCGCCGGCAATTGATCTCAGTCTTGCTGCAGACACAATTTGCAGGGCAAGCCAGCACGGAGCCCACATAGTCCAGCCAGACGCTTCCCAGCAAGAAAATCCGCCAGAAACTACACTTGGCTGGGCAAAGAGAGACATCCATCTCCGATCGCTGCTTCTAAAAAAGAGGAGGAGGAGAGGAGAGGGGGGTGGGGTGGGGGGAGTGGGGAGAGCAGGGGGGGAAGGAAACAAAGACGGCGAGGGAGGGGGGAAGGGGGAGGGGGGGCCTCTGCCTTTGAAACGCCGAGCGATCAGATGCAAAATCCTTCAGCGTCTGAAACCATCGCGGACGCCGCCGCCGCCGCCGCCGCCGCCGGGTGGGAGCCGCGAGGAGCGCCTAGTGGCGCGGTCTGCCGGGCATGGTGGCCGGCTCGGCGATCGCTGACTCGCCGGGTCCGGGGGCTCTGGAAGCGAGGCGCGCTCTCCGACTCCGAGACTTTGCAGGGTTGCAACAGACGGTGGGGAGGCAAAAAAAAAAAAGGAAAAGGAAAAAATGGTGCTAAAGTCACCAAGTCCCACCTACTGGGCAGAATTAAAACGGACACACCACGCACCTGCAAAACACACACACTCACTCTCACACATACACACACCCGGAGCCCGAGGAAAGGAAGAGAAGGAAGATGCAGTAGGAGCTGCAGCAGCCGCCGCGAATGGCTCGCCGCGCGGCTGCAGAAATGTACAAGTGCTCCGAGCCTTACGAAACGCACGGGTTATCGGAGCGTCTTCCTCGGCTCCCTCCCTCCCTTCCTCCCTCCCTCCTCCCCTCCCTCGTCGCGGCCTCCTCCCCCCGCCCCCCGCCCGGGCTGGGAGCGGCAGGAGAGCGGAATCTCCCCCTCCCTCCCCTCCCCACACCCGTCTCTCTCCCCGCCTGTCCTCTCCCTCCTCCCCACCCACCCACCCACCCACTCGCCGGCTCGCGGCTGTAGCCGGCACCGCCACCCGCAGCCTCGCGGCAGCCCGCCCGCTCCACGCCTCGCAGCGCGGCGCCCGCTAGCCGCAGCCCGGGGGAAACCGAGACCGAAGGGAAAAAGTTGCATTTGAGATTGCGAGGGTCGGGGCTGGGGAGGGAGAGTTGGCGAGCTGGCTGCACGACACGGAAAGGCGCTCTCCTTTCCACTTTTTGGCCCTCGCGCTACCCGGTTTTGCTGCAATCCGGACCGCGGTAGGAAGTGAAATGAACGTGGCGGAGGTGATTGGGGAGTGCTCCCAAGCCTTGGGTGGGGGGCGCTCCCAAGCCTGGGTGGGTGGGGGGCGCAGGCTCACGGACGGCGACGGGGGGTGCCGGAGCGCACAGACACCCCAGAGAAGCACCCAGAGCCGGGGACCGGGACCGCAGACGCGCAGTCCTTGGTCTGAATGACACTCATTTCCGTAATCTAGAGTCTGGGGCTCTGGTCTTGGCTGGGAGGGGACTGCGGGACATGGCACGCTAGGTGCCCCCCGTGCCCGCTGCGCTTTCTTGGAGGTGGGTTTTGCATTCGGCCTTGAGCAGGCATGGATCGGGGAAGGAAGAAACAGGGGTCGAAAGGGCTGCGCTGGAGAGCCGAGGTGGCCCCGGGCGAGCTGTGCGTGCAAGAGAAATGGCCGGGGGAAATTGAGATGCAAGGGGCATATTTTGGCAAGCGCCACGCCAGCACCGTCAGAGGCCGGCTTCTCGGGCTCAGCTCTCGGGTGAGCTGAGCTGGCTGCCGGGTGAGGGGGCGGGCGGGCTGCTTTCTCCGGATTCGGGGGCGCAGAACCTCCTCCTTCCCTCCCACACAAGCACCCCTTCCTGGTAGGGACGCAAAGCAGGTGCAGCTTTCGACGAGAGCTCAGATCTCATCCGGGAAAGAAGTGTGTGTGGGGGGGGCCCCGCTTTTGCGCTGGTAGGGATTTTTTTCTTAATAAAACATAAAGATGCCAAGTGTGAGCTGTTTGCTGAAAAAAAAAAAAACGAGCATTCGCTGTGGGAAAGGAGAAGAAAGGGTTAGGGGAGTCCGAGCAGGCAGACACACTACAGCATTCACACGCAGAAGAAAGCAGGGTTCTCCTTCCCGAGCTTGGAGGAGGGCAGGCGAGGAAGCAAAATACATTGAATTCAATTCAACTGCATCCAGTATCTGAAAGGAGTCTCCCCCGCCCCCCTGTGGATTCCGATGCAGGTCATGCAACTTGCAGGCAAGATGGGGGAAGGGGTATGCCGGTGTCACCGCCTGCCCCAGGCGCAACCACAAACAGGCCGGTCGCCTTCGGGTGGCACTGTCGCTTGGAGTAAAAACTTGGACGAAAAAAATGGAAGAAAAGAACATGCCTATACAAGGCAGTTTTCCCGACTTCCCGTCACGTTCCACCTTCCCTTGGCCCCAGGGAGATTTTTACCCCCGTCGCCATTATGGCCTTGTCTCCAGACTGGCATTTTGCCCTCCCACCAGCAGGCGGGGACAGAGTGTGAAGACCTCCTTGGACTCTCAAACCACTTGCTACTGGCCCTAGGCCAATCCTGGCTGTCCTTAGGCCACTGGGAATTTCCCTGTCACTTCAAGTGCCATTCTGGGATTGGCTTTAGAATATCTGAGAGTCAGGAAACTGAGGTGTAGTCAGATCCTAACACTTGGCCTCTCTTGGGAGGTGGCAGGTGGCAGCAGAGAAACACAGCCTCTCTCAGACCACTCCTGGGCAGGGAACGCCAAGTGGATTCAGCCCAGCATCAGTGCTCCAGCCTGGAACTGAAATGGTTGTGTCCAAAAGATGCCCAGCCCACTTTTTTGAGAGAGAGAGAGAGAGAGAAAGAAAGAGAGAGAGAGAGGATTTTTAACATGTCAAGCAGAGAAGAAGAGACATCCATAAGTTAGAACAACAAAAACAACAACAACAAAAAACCTTTAAAAACCCCTCTGGATTTGGTAAAAATGCAGATTGTGGAGCAAGGGGCCCTGATGGGCAAGAAGTCTTTCATCCTGACAGTAAAATGGGATTAAGATGGGGTGCTACGTTTATGCTCACACTCTGGGCCTGAGCAGGAAGCGACAGCTGAAAAAGAGGGAAGCCCTTTCAAAAGCAGGTGACGCATGGACACATAGAGGGGACAATGCACATGAGGGTCTACCAGAGGGTAGAAGGTGGGAGGAGGGAGAGGATCAGGAAAAATAACTCATGGATACCAGGCTTAATACCTGGGTGATGAAATAATCTGTACGACAAACCCCATGACACATGTCTACCTGTATAACAAAGCTGCACATCCTACACACGTACCCCTGAACTTAAAGGTTTAAAAAAAAAAAGCAGGTGATAGACTAGAGTGGGGAAGAGCAGAATTTCATTTCTAACCACAGGGAAATGACAAGCTTTCTGGGACTCCGCTTTCCCATCTGTAAAATGACCACGTTAAGACCAGATCCTCAAAACCCAAAGTGTGGCCCTCTGT